>NC_000005.10:87685564-87988594 GCF_000001405.40 Homo sapiens | reverse complement strand
GAAATTGTCTCATGCAATTATGGAGGCAGAGAAATCCCATACTATGCCTTCTGCAAGCTAGAGAACCAGGAAATTTGGTGGTATCATTCAGTCCAAGTCCAAAGACCTGAGACAAGAGGTAGAGTGAGTGGGGTGGGCAGTGGCTGGTGTACGTCCTGGAGTCTGAAAGCCTGAGAACCAGGAGCTCTGATGTCTGAGGGCAGGAGAAGATGAATGTTTTAGCTAAAGGAAAGAGAAAGGAAATTTGCTTTTCCTCTACCTTTTTGTTCTATTTGGGTCTTCAACAGATTGAATGATGTCCATACAAATTGGTGTGGGTAGATCTTCTTTACTCAGTCTACTGATTCAAATGATAATCTCTTCCCAAACACCTTCACAGACACACCCAGAAATAATATTTACTAACTATGTGAACATCTCTGAACCCAGTCAAGTTGATATATAAATGAGCCATGACAATATGTAAAGGAGTCAGGTAAGAAGGATTGGGCAAAAGGAGAGGTTGAATGGCCATGCAGTTGCAAGAAAGACCTCAGTTAATCATATAGGGAGCTCTGGAGCTTTGATGGCCTTTTAGAGCTGTCTGAATTCAAGGCTTGGGGACCAAACATTTGTACTCCTACATTAACTGGTTGTTAAGTAAAAGTTGCCTTCAAAGTAGAGTGACTTTGGGGAGGTGACTTTCTTCTACCAAAGGCAATTTCTAAAAGAAAACTCTATTGTAAGCAGTCAATAGCTAACATTCCTGGAAGATATGGGAATGAATGTCATGGTCTTGAAGGGGTATCTTGGCAGCACACTACAGCATCCACTACAGATATCATAGAAAGTGGTGTTTAGTATCCTCTTAAATTTTCTCTGATTTAAGCGTCATTTTATTTTAGTACTACTCTTTAAAAAATGAGTGTTTTATTTATAATAAATAGATAAAAGTAAATTTGAGTCTTCATTAAAAAGCCAAGACACATAAGCTTTCTAATTTCTAAATTTCTAATTTTTTTTCTCTGTGATTGTTAAATTAAATTTTCTCGAGGTTGAGGTAATTGGAGAAATTGATTTGGCTCTAAGTAACTCAGTAGAAAAGTCAGTATTGGAAAACACTTTTTGCTTAGCACCTACCATCTTTCTTGTTTAAAATTAAAAAAAAAGCCAGAGTACATTATTTATATTCTTTCCAAGGGATATTCCTCTCACTCAATCAGGACTGAAGCATGCATTGTCCCGGCTGCTGAGATTATTGGCTGTCATAGCTCACAGTTGAATTCTCTCTCCAGTATTTGTTCATAGTCAAAGGATGCCACTTTGCCTACAGTTATGTCTTATTCCCATTTCATGGCACCCCTTATCCTGCAATTGAGCAATGTGAGGTAAAAAAGGCTCAGTCCCTTTGAAGCACCATCTCACTGATAGTCTCCCACAAGAATAGCTAATACCTCTATTGTGATTGCCTCATGGCTTAATCCTTCCTCTACCCAATTCTGCCTTCCCTTTTTCCTTATGAGAGAACATTCCCCAATAAATATTTTGCAGGCAAATATCCATTTCAAAGGCTGTTTCTAAAAAACCCAACATTGAAAAAATCTTTTCTGTAACTTGATTATGGGAGAAAGAAAAATAATTCTCCAAATAATTATGATAAAATTGAGTAGATACATAATGTGTTGAATTCTAAAATTTAATTTTTAAAGATAGGAGTTACATTTTATATTAAGCATATAAACATAAAAATATGTTTAAATTGATAATTATGATTAATTTTTAGTACTTACTATCCAATTGTAATCAGCAGTTTATTATTAATAATCAGAAATTTCAATTACTCTTTCTCTTCATATACAATTCCAGGATTCTCAGGGAGCAGTCTTTCACTAAATTGTTTCAGAAAGAGTGAGGAAAAGGAATTGAAAACATTTTGAGAGAACTATACCATTAATGACCCTGGAAACAAAACAGAAATGGGAAAAAATTGTGTTCTCAGAAACAAAATTTGTGTCTGGCAAAGAAATTTAATGTCTCTGAGCAATTATTGTCCTTTTTGTGAAACAAAGACAATGCTTTAGCACAAACTCTGGCTTAATGTTCATTTAGTGTAGACTCTACTTAAAAGCATTTTGACACCATCTTACAGACTTTTGTTACAGGCAACATGGCTGAATAGATGTTCAGAAAACACTACTTAAGGAATAACACTTCAAATGCAGATAAAATATAAAACACTCATTTTAAAATGCATGGCTAATTCATGAAGTGAAGGAAATCTTCAGAAGCCAAAACAAGAAAACATGAATCTAGAGATGTAAATAAACATAGTATTGGACATTTGCTGCGCGTATCTGCATTGCCTAGGTGACCTATTTGGATTTGTTCAGGTTGCATGCATATCAGGTAAGATCTCATCAGATACCCTGCACAAAGTCTACTTTGCTATCAGAGGCCACTACAGCAACGTCTCTTCTTAGATTACTTAGGTGTGACTCTGACACCAGTCCTCTGTGCTTAGCATACTCAGGGCATGCGTATTAGGATCTCTGAATGGTAACTAAGTGAGCAGCAGGTGACTCCCATAGTACCCCCTAGGATTTTTTCCTAATTTTATATGCAAACATCAATTCTTGACAAAATATTTCAATATGAAAGGCAGGACTTCAATATTTTTAGAAGTAATATGTAATCTCTGCATAGGAATGGATTCTTAATCAACACATCAAAATCATAAAACATGATGAAAGAGAGATAAATATGACTGCATAAACTTATCAAAAGGCCCCTAAAACAGAGGAAACATCAAGTCACAAAGTGGGAGAACAATTACAACACACACAGCTGAAAAAGGATAATGTCCACAACATTAAAAGAATTTTAAAGCAATAATAAAAGACAACCCAATAGAGAAGAAGGAAAAATACATTAATAGACATTTAACAGAAAGAAGAAAAATAAACAGCCTTTGAAGAGATTTTCAACTTTATTAGTAATCAGCAATATGCCAACTGAAACCACGGTGAGATACATTTTACACACATTATTAATTGGTAAAATTTAAAGGTGTTATAATACCAAAGATTTGGTGAAGTGGTGGTAAACTACACAACTACTTTAGAAGACCCCTTGGCATAATCTAATGAAGTTTATATACTTCATACACTGCTTCATATACTTCTAGAATCCATCATTTTCATACATAAACTTTAGTGGTTTATAATTGTTAAGTCCTGATGTGTTGGGACAGTCTTTCAGAGCACTTTTCCTGGGATAATTTTAAATAATATCTCTTTGCTTTTCCAAAGTTTTCTGAGTTTGGTGACAAAATTTACAGTTTATAATCACTTTTTTTCCTTTATTTTTAATTTTTATCAGGTTTGTATTCCCTCCTTTGATGTAGTCACCTTTTAAAAATGATATATCTCATTGTATTATACATATAATTATTTACTTTATGCATACCTATTATTGGGGATTAGGTTTTAGTAATTTTGTACTCTTTTATTTTATTTATTTTTGTAGAGACAGAGTCTCACTATGTTGTCCAGGCTAGTCTTGAACTCCTAGCATCAAGCAATTCTCCTGATTCAGCCTCTTAAAGCTCTGGGATTACAGGCATGAGCCACTGCACCCAGCCTAATTTTGTTCTCTTACACTTTATGTGATGTTTTTTTTTCCTTCTAAAAATTTGCAGGTATGACAAAGCAATTAGACTCAACTTTTATATCAGGTATACATACCCTTGATAGGGTACATATGGCCCTCCTGAGTACTCTGCTTAAGTCAGGCTGATAGTTAAGAAACCTTGAACAGACAGTAATATCTGATAGCTAACATGGGGAATTATCTGACCGAACCATTCTTTCTGCTTTTTTATTCATCTCTTGGTGATCATATACATCTTTTTCTGTTTCTCTCAACATCCTAAAACAATTTTTTTCCTTGAGAGACATAAATTTTTTCCAGACTTCCTTAGAAATATTTTAAAAGAGAACCACCCCCAGGGACCACTATCTCAACTTCTAGCTCATTTAAAATTGTCCTTCAGAATCTCTTGAAAAGTTTCTCCCTATCTCCTTACAAAATTAATTCTGTTTTTCAAAAACAAAGCATTCTTGAAACAAACAAACAAACCAAAATTATAGTAGTCTTGATGCTTTTTATTGCCTATACATTTTTTAGTTATTAGTGTTCCCATATTTTTCATAATAAATGCATTTTTAACCATATTATCACCTATATAGATTGTTGTGTCATTTGCTTAAATATAACCTAGTGTTATATGAAGAAATTCATTCTGAGTTAGCACATTGGGGATTGACAATAATTGTAAATAGTGCCACCCTGTAATATTTTAGGGCAATGGTAACCACCCTGTGTTAGTAATTCAGAATATGTTTATTTCATCCCAGTAAACTCCATTTATGCAAGATGAGATTTTGCTATTAGTACATCTTCTATCATCCCTTTTATCTTTTCATATTTAAATACTTACCAAGCTTCTAATTTGCTAATGACAAGAGGATACAATATGTGCTAATTATATAAATACAGTGTTTCCTGGTGCTTGATATACTTTAGTGTAAGTTATCTGTCTTTTAAAAAGCATACTATTTTCCCACGTCCTAAGACATTTTAGAAATAGAAACAGTAGCTTTGGGTATATGACAACAGTAGAACTGTAGAGTATGCAAACTCTTCAGTGTATATTGTCATAGCAGTCTGAGTTTGTGAAGAACGGTAGGACCATTATATCTCTCCACGCTTTAATATTATAGTATGAATATGAGCTGAACTAAATATGACTGATCAAATCAGTTATTACAGCCAATTCTGTGTTGAAATAAAGAAAATTCTATTTGTGGAGTGTATAACAGATTTAAAGAATATCGGCAGTTTAAAACAGTTCCTGACCTAATGGAAGAGCTGTGCCCATGGAGGATCAGAACTGTTCAGTTCAGTTTCTGAAGGTTTTGGAGGCTTGTATAAAGGCTATGATTTTATTGATAATTTTGTCCATGTCACAACCCAAGAGGATTAATAAAGAGGTTTTTCATTTTTAAGAAATACAAAGAGTTCCCTTATGCCTTAATTGAAAAAATAATTTGTTTGACAGCAATATAGATTAACACTTACTTGAGAAACCCTGAGTTTGTTCTAAAAGAGTAGGGTTCCCCACTCTCCACCTTGTTGTATAAAGAAAAAAATCATTCTCCATGTCACTTCAAATGTAAGTTATCCAGTTTGAAAATGATTAAGGAAAGAGGAAAGCATGTTGAAGAGCACTGTGACTCTCTTGAATCACATTTCTAAGAACATGACATCACAACATAATGGTTACCTTTTGTGTTAGTAGAAAGTGATGGGAAATAGTTGCTGAGTTATGACTGAGGTAACCCACCAAAAATAAGTGTTTCTCATATCAAACTGTCAACTCAAATATCTTATTTATCCCTTTGTTCTTCCTTTGGGAGACTACATGTTGGTGAAGGCATGTGTGGCAATTGAAAAGACTTGGACTGATCTTACCTTCAAGATCGAGCAGTTTTGCTTTATCTGCTAATTACAAGATACCTTCAAATAACTTTTGCTTCAATAGTTCATTTTTTCCCTAATGAGTACATGGAAATTGTGGAAATAGCATTCTGGAGATTAATGTTTTCTTCTGATTCTTTTCCCATCAGTTGGTTCATTATGTTGGACCCTGAGGTGGTGAATAAAAGTGAACATTAGAAGAAAACACCTGACTTGGAGGTGTTTACAATTAAGCCAATAAGAGTAGAGAAAATTGAAATAGCAAAGTTTAATTCTTAGTGCAATGAAGAAAAAATTATTTTGAAAATGACAAATTTCTCCCCACCATGGGCCAGTCTATCAGAAGATATACTGGGTGCCTAATGCTAAAATGAGTTGGTGTTGAGGCGGTCTATCATTGGCATGTTTACTTGATTTGGTCATCTGTCTTTCTACCAAGATGTCTTTCCAGTAAAAGAAGAAAATGGATTGCTGGACTGCTGCTCTTTCGTCCCATCATATAACTTTTATATTGAATCAGCATTTTAAACCTTCATCGAAATGGAAACTTATGATCCGGAGTCTTTTGGGAAAATTCTACCAAACATTATTTTTTGTGTGTATACAAACACGCATGTGCATGCGCACACGCGCACACACACAAACAACAGTGCCAATCTTATACAAAGTCTTCTAGAAAAAAAAAAGAGTGACTGCATTCCAATGTGTTTATGAGGCCAGCATAACCTTAAAAGCAAAATCTGAGAAATCAGCGTAAGGCAAATATCAGGCTAATCTCATTCATAAACAGAGATACCAAAATTCTAAATCAAGATTAATAAACAGAATCTAGCAATATATAAAAAGGCTATTATATCAGGATCAAATGGAATATAGTCCAGAAATGCAAGAGTATTTACCATTTGCGAATAATTTTTTTAAATTTACAACATTAACAGAATAAAAGAGAAAAGTAGATACAGAAAAATAATTTTATAAAACTTATCTTCCATTCATAATAAAAACTTTAGGAAATTAAGAATGGGATGGAAGAGTTCCTTAATCTGATTATGGTGCAGATGTACAAAAAGCCTACAGCAAACATCATACTTAAAGAAGAAATGTTGAAAGGTTTCCTCTGAGCTAAAAATGAGAAAGAAAGGCCTTATTTCTATTAAACATTGTTTTGTAGGCAAGGAAAACTAAAAGCTTCTTTTCCCAAGATGGTGAATTATGAATAGCAAGATAGTGCACAAGATTCAACTCTGCGGGCTTCAATTCAAGACAGAAAATGGAACTCCACTAGAATCACACTAGAATCATGAAGGATGCCTCAGATCTTGGGGAGGAGAATGTGGGCAAACAGGCCCCATGATGGCATCTGGTCAATAAAAATAAGTGAAGCCCCAGTACGTGAGAGAGTCAGAGAACCTCTCTTTGTGACTCAGCTTTCCAGTGGGGATCCAAGCAACCCAGGCCAAGGGAGAGCACTTTGTTTCTCCCAAACCCTGGAGCTAACTTGGGCACACATTTAGAGACTCTGTGAGGGAAAGACACTGGGGAAAGCTGAAGGCATTCCCCAGAACCGGGACAGGCTGCAGGCATTTTTCCCAGACCTGGGACTGAGAGCATGCCACTTTTAATGTGGGTGTGTATAAAGTCAGTGATTCTTTGGCTACTTGGGCAGCTTGGTTGCACAGGCATTTTAGTCTCAGGCCAGAGATTGGAGTGCTTGCTCTGGAGTGAGGTAGGGGATTCTATAGCCAGAATTGTGGAAAGTGCCTCAGCAGTGGACACTGGAAATATGCTCTCCCACGTTGCAGGCCTTGGGTGCGAGGAGAGCTGCTACAGCTGTGGTTTCTCTTGGGAAACTAGACTTGCAGCTGGGGAAGCTTGGTGACCTAGAGCACATCTTCATGTGCCATTGCTGGGTGTCCTGGTCTGCTCCCCTGAGATGGTGGTACAGTGAGCCCTCTGCTCCACCTTCCAGCATATCTAGAGGCATTTAGAGCACTCACTTGCCTGGAGGTCCAGCTCAGGCAGCTGCCTTTTCCTTCCTGGACACAGATCATGCTATAGAGGAACTCTCGTCACTCCATGCCTCAGCAGATCTCTTGGCATTCAGAGTACCCACTTGCCTGGTTTAGTAGGCTAAGTAGCCCCAAACCTCCTGTGCAGAGATACTGGTGCAGGGGAGCTCTTTCCCACTCCATGCCCAGGCAGATCTCCAGGCATTCGTTCAGAGGACCTGCTCACCTGGGTCAACAGCCTGAGCTGCCCCACTCTTCCTGCACAGAGATTGTGGTGCAGCAGGACCCTCTCTACTTTATGGTCAGGCAGATCTATAGGCTTTCAGGGGATCTACTTGCCTGGACCAGCAACCTAAACCACTCCATCCTTCCTGTGCCAAGATCATGGTGCAGCTGTGCCTTCTTTGCTCCAGGCAATTGGAGCAACTACTCACCAAGATAAGCAGCCTGAGCTGCCCCATCCTTCCTTTGCAGAAATTGTTGTGAAGCTGGGCCCTCTATGCTTCATTTCCAGGCATCCCACTCTCCTAGGTTAGGCCTTTAGGCTACCCATACTCCCCACGCAGAGAAACTGGGGCTGAGGAGGTCTCCCAGTTCCACAGCTAGGCACACCTCTGCATGCTTGGTGGCTGCCCATGGGATTCTCCCTTGGTGCTGGTGTTTTTGCCTGCCATTGTGGGACCTGTAGGTGGGTCTGCCTGGTTTGTGTATGTTGTTCCCGTCTACCTGGGGCTGAATAGGGAGCTCATTGCTCATTCCTCAGATCAGCCCATTGGCTGATGTAATAGAGAGCTTCTCCCACTAAACAAGGATCAAGTAAATACCCAGCTGCATTGGCTATGGCTGGCTCTCACCCATAAATGCCATTTGGTACCTTGTAGGTCAAACTGCACAGCCCAATATAATATCTGTCAAAAGAAGTGAGTAGGGCTGTAGGAGCGAAGCCAAAAGACACAACACAGCATTCTCTATGTCACACTCTCTAGGGAAGGAGAAAAAGGGAAAGAAAAATAAGCAATAATATTATAGGGAAAGAAAGAAAGCAAAAGAAAAAATTCTACCTGCATGAAAATCATTACAAAAATTAAAAATGTCATCATCCTCAGATGAGAAGGAACCAGCATAAGAATTCTGACACCATAAAAAATCTGAGTGTAGTCACACTACCAAAGGATCACACTAGATCTCCAGCAATGGTCTGTATTAGTCTGTTCTCACACTGCTGTAAAGAAAGAAATACCTGAAAGTGAGTAATTTATAAAGAAAAGAGATTTAACTAGCTCATGGTTCTGTAGGCTGTACAGGCTTCTGCTTCTGGGGAGGCCTCAGGAAACTTACAGTCATGGCAGAAGGTGAAGAGGAAACAAGCATGTCTTAAATGGCAGGAACAGGGAGAAGAGAGAGGGAGGAGGTGCTACGCACTTTCAAACAAGCAGATCTTGGGAGAACTCTATTATGAGACAGCACTGGGGGAAAGGTGCCTAACCATTAGAAACAACCCCAATGATCCAATCACCTCCCACCAGGCCCCATCTCCAACATTGGGGATTGTAATTCAAAATGAGATTTGGGTGGGGATACAGAACCAAACCCTATCATTCTGTCCCTGGCCCCTCCCAAATCTCATGCTCTTCTCACATTGCAAAATACAATCATCCCTTCTAAGCAGTCCCCCAGGTCTTAACTCATTTCAGCATTAACACAAAAGTGCAATCTAAAGTCTCACGTGAAACAAGGAATGTCCCTTTCACCTATGAGCCTGTAAAATCAAAACAAGTTAGTTATTTCCAAGGTACAATGGGGGGTATAGGCATTGGGTAAATATTCCCTTTTGAAAAAACATAAATCAGCCAAAACAAAGGGGCAACAAACCCCATGCAAGTCCAAAACCCGGCAGGGAAGTCATTAAATCCCAAAGCTCCAAAATAATCTTCTTTGACTCTATGTCTCACATCCAGGCCACACTGATCCAAAGGGTGGGCTCCTAAGGCCTTAGGCAGCTCTGCCTCATGGCTCCACAGTACAGCCTTTGCACCTGCTTTCATGGGCTGGTATTGAGCACCCCCATAGCTTTTCCAGGCACATGATACAAGCTGACAGTGGATCAACCATTCTATGGTCTGGAGGATGGTGGCCCTCTCCTCACAGCTACACTAGGTAGTGCTCCGTGGGAACTCTGTGTGTGGTCTCCAATCCCACATTTTCCCTCTTCACTTTCCCAGTAGAGGTTCTCCATAAGGACTCTGCCCCTTCAGCAGACTTCTGCCTGGACATCCAGGCATTTTTATACATCCTCTGAAATCTAAGTGGAGACTCCTAAGCCTCAACTCTTGCCCTCTGCACACCTGAAGGCTAAATACCACATGAAAACCTTGGCTTGTGGCTTGCACCCTCTCAAGCAGTGGCCTGAAATGTATCTGGGACCCTTTTAGCCACAGTTGGAGCTGGAGTGGCTGGGACACAGGGAGCAGTGTCCTGAGGTTGTGCAGGGCAGTGGAGCCTTGGGCCTTGCCCATGAAACCACTCTTCCCTCCTAGGCCTCCAGGCCTGTGATGGAGGAAGGGTTTGGTGGTTGGGGGGGCCTGCCATGCAGGTCTTTGAAATACCTTCCAGTCATTTTCCCCATTGTATTGGCTACTAACATTGGGCTCCTCTTTACTTAGGCAAATTTCTGCAGAAGGATTTAATTCCTTACCTGAAAATGGGATTTTCTTTTCTACCTTATATCCAGGCTGCAAATTTTTTGAACTTTTATGCTTTGCTTCCCTTTTAAATATAAATTGCAGTTTCAGATCATTTCTTTGCTTATGGAAATGAGTATAGGCTTTTAGATGCAGCCAGGCTACATTTTGAACGTGCTTAGAAATTTCTTCTGCCAGATACCCTAAATCATCTCTCTGAAGTTCAAATTCCCACAGATCTCTAGAGCCCAGGCACAATATTACCAGTCTGTTTACTAAAGCACAGCAAGAGTGACCTTTACTCCAGTCCCCAATAAGTTCCTCATCTCAATCTGAGACCTCCTTAGCCTGGACTTCACTGTCCCTTTTACTGTCAGCATTTTGGTTGCAACCATTTAACAAAACTCCAGGAAGTTCCAAAGTCTCCCTCATCTCCTTTGTCTTTTTCTGAGCCCTCCAAACTGTTCCAACCTCTGCCCATTATTCAGTTCCAAAGTTGCTTCCATATTCTCAGGTATCTTTATAGCAATGCCCTACCTCTCTGGTAGTAATTTTCTGTATTAGTCTGTGCTTGCAATGCTATAAAGAAATAATTGAAACTGGGTAATTTATAAAGAAAAGAGGTTTAATTAGCTAATGATTTTGCAGGACAGGTTTCTACTGCTGGGGAGGCTTCAGAAAACTTCCAGTCATGGTGGAAGGGGAAGGGGAAGCAAGCATGTCTTACATAGTGGGAGCAGGAGGAAGGGGGACAGGTGCTACACACTTTTAAACAAGCAGATCTCGGGAGAACTCTATCACAAGGCAGAACTAGAGGGATGGTGCTAAACCATTAGAAACCACACCTATGATCCAATCACCTTCCACCAGACCTCACTGCCAACATTAGGGATAACAATTCAACATGAGTTTTGGGTGGGGACACAGAGCTAAACCATATCAGGTCCCTAATCAAATTGGAAACTCAGAAATAACAAATGAAAAATTCAAAGTGTGGATTACAAGGAAGCTCAATGAGATGCAAGACAAGGTTGAAAATCAACACAAGCTCCTGAAGCAATCCAGGAAATAAAGGAAGAGATGAATATCTTAAAAAGACATCAATCAGAGCTTCTGGAATTGAAAAACTCACTTAAGGAATTTCAAAATTCAGTTGAAAGCTTTATGTATAGATTAGACCAAGCAGAAGAAAAAATTTTATGGCTTGAATGCCAGTCTTCAGAACTAAGCCAGTCAAACAAAAATAAAGAAAAAAGAATTTTAAAAAATGAACAGATTTGACAAATATGGGATTATGTAAAGTGATCAAACCTATGAATTATTGGCATTCTTGAGAGAGAAGGAGAAAAAGTAAACAACTTGGTAAACATATTTGAGGGAATAATTCAAGAAAATTCCCCTAATCTTGCTAGAGAATAAGACATCTAGATACAGGAAATCCACAGAACATGTGTGAGATACTATACAAAATGAACATCACCAAGGCATATGTAGTCACCAGATTGTCCAGTGTCAACACCAAAGAAAAAAATCTTAAAGGCAGCTAGAGAAAAGATCAGATCACATACAAAGGGAACCCTATCAGACTTCTAACAACAGACTTCTCAGCAGAAGCCCCACAAGCCAGAAGACACTGGGGCCTATTTTCAGCATTCTTAAAGAAAATAAATTTCAACCAAGAATTTCATATCCTGCCAAACTAAGTTTCATCAGTGAAGGAGAAATAAAATCTTTTCCAGACAATAAGCACTAAGGGAATTCATTACTGCTAGGTGAGCCTTACAAGAGATCCTTAAGAGACTTCTAAACATGGAATTGAAAGAATAATAGCAGGCACCATAAAAACACACTTAAGAAAATAGCCTGCAGATCCTATAATGCAACCAGACTATAGAAACTACAAAGCAACCAAATAAAAACTTCAATATGATTAAAATCTTACATATCAATATTAACCTTGAACGTATATGGTCTCAATGCCCCCACTCCAAAGGCACAGAGTGGCAAATTGAATAAAAAAGCAAGACCTATCTCTCTGCTGTCTTCAAGAGACCCATCTCAAATGACACATATAGGCTCAAAGTTGGAAAGACCTATTAAGAAAATGGAAAACAAAAAAGAGCAGGGGTCACTATTTATGTATCAGATAAAATAGACTTTAAACCAAAAACAGTAAAAAAAAATTAAAGAAGGAAATTACTTAATGATAAAAGGTTCAGTTCATCAGGAAGTCTTAACTACCCTAAATATACATGCTCCCAGCATTGGAGCACCTAGGTTTATAAAACAAGTACTTCTAGACCTGTGAAAAGACTTAGCCACACAATAATAGTGGGAGACTTCAGCAACCCACTGACAGCATTAGTCAGATCATCAAGGCAGAAAACTCACAAAGAAATTCCGGACTTCAATTCGACACTTGACCAATTGGAACTAATAGACATCTACAGAATACTCATCAACCACAGAATGTACATCTGCACATGGAACACACATTGAGCTCAATTACATGCTCAGTCATAAAGTAAGTCTCAATAAATCCCAAACGATTAAAATCATACCAACCTTAATCTTAGACCACAGTGGGATAAAAATAGAACTCAACATCAGGAAGATCTCTCGAAAATGCAAAATTACATGGAAATTAAACAACTTGCTTCTGTATGATTTTGGGTAAACAATGAAATTAAGGAAGAAATCAAATAATGAAAACAGAGACACAATATACCAAAATCTCCTGGATGCAGCAAAAGCAGTGTTAAGAGGAAAGTTTGTAGCACTAAATGCCTATTTCAAAATGTTAGAAAGATTTCCATTTAACAATCTAACATCACTCTTAGTGGAACTATAAAAACAAGAACAAACTAACCCCAAAACTAACAGAAGAAAATAAATAAATAAAATCAGAGCAGAGACAAATGACATCAAGACCCAAAAATTCATACAGAGAATCGATAAAACCAACAGTTCTTCTTTGAAAGGATAAACAAGATCTATAGACCACTAACTAAATTAACAAAGAAACAAACGGAGACCAAAATAAGCAAAACCAGAAAACAACAAAGGTGACATTACAGCTAATCCCACAGAAATCTAAATGATCCTCAGAGAGTGTTACAAACAACTCTATGCACATTACCTGGGAAATCTAGAGAAAATAGATAAATTCCCGGAAACATATAAATTCCTATGATTGAGTCAGGACAGAATTGAAACCCTGAATAGACCAATATTGAGTTCTGAAATTGAATCAGTAATAAACCTATCAACCAAAAAAGCCCTGGACCAGATGGAATCATAGCCAAATTCTACCAGACATACAAAGAAAATCTGGAGCCAATTCTACTGAAACTATTCCAAAAAAATTGAAGAGGCCAGACTCCTCCGTAATGGATTCTATGAAGCCAACATCTCCCTGATATCAAAATCTGGCAGAGATACAGGGTCAAAAAACTAACTACTGGGCACTATGCTCCCTTCCTGGGTGATGAGATCAATCATACCCCCAGACCTCAGCATCACGTAATATACTCATGTAACAAATGTGTACATATACCTTCTGAATCTAAAATAAAAGTTGAAATTATAAAAATACATAAAAAAATTAAAAGCTACTGGGATTTGAAAGATATGGAAATTTTGTTTTTAATGATATGATTGCATACATCAAAAACTCAAAACAGTCTACAGACAGAATGTTATAATTAATAAGTTAATTTATCAAGTTTCTTTGTACAAGGTCATATACACATTTTCATATATTTCTATATAGCTAGACAAGTTAGAAAATCAAATGCAAAGATGACTATTTACAGTAGCATGTTGGCTATTGATATGGTTTGGCTGTGTCCCCACCCAAATCTCATCTTGAATTCCCATGTGTTGTGGGAGAGACCTGGTGGGAAGTAATTGAATCATGGGGGCAGATCTTTTCCGTGCTGTTCTCATGATAGTGAGTAAGTCTCACGAGATCTGATGGTTTCTATAAGGGGGAGTTTTTGTGAACAAGTTCTCTTTTTGCTTGCTGCCATCCATGTAATATGTGACTTGCTTCTCTGTGACTTCCACCATGATTGTGGGGCTTCCCCAGCCATGTGGAACTCTAAGTCCAATTAAAACTCTTTCTTTTGTAAATTGCCCGGTCTCGGGTATGTCTTTATCAGCAGTGTGAAAATGGACTAATACAGTAAATTGGTACCAGTAGAGTGTTGTGTTGCTGAAAAGACACCCAAAAATGTGGAAACGACTTTGGAACTGGGTAACGGACAGAGGTTGGAACAGTTTGGAGTACTCAGAAGAAGACAGGAAAATATGGGAAAGTTTGAACTCCCTAGAGACTTGTTGAATGACTTTGACTAAAATGCCGATAATGATATGGACAATGAAATCCAGGCTGAGGTAGTCTCAGATGGAGATGAGGAACTTGTTGGGAACTGTCGCAAAGGTGACTCCTGTTATGTTTTAGCAAAGAGACTGGCAGCATTTTGTCCCGCCCTAGAGATTTGTGGAACTTTGAGCTTGAGAGAGATGATTTAGGGTATCCCATGGAAGAAATTTCTAAGGAGCAAAGCGTTCCAGAGGTGACTTGGGTGCTGGTAAAGTCATTCAGTTTCATAAGCGAAGGAGAGCATAAAGATTTGGAAAATTTGCAGCCTGACAATGTGATAGAAAAAAAAAAAATCCCATTTTGTAAGGAGAAATTCAACCTGGCTGCAGAAATTTGCGTAAGTAATGAGGAGCCGAATGTTAATCTCCAAGACAATGGAGAAAATGTCTCCAGAGCATGTCAGAGGTCTTCATGGCAGCCCTTCCCATCACAGGCCCAGAGGCCTAGGAGAAAGTGGTTTCATGGACCAGGCCCAGGGTCCCCATGCTGTGTGAAGTCTAGGGACTTGGTGCCCTGCATCCCAGTCACTGCATTTGTGACTAAAACGGGCCACAGGCACAGCTCGGGCTGTTGCCTCAGAGGGTGGAAGCCCCAAGCCTGGGCAGCTTCCATGTGGTGCTGAGCATGCCAGTGCACAGAAGTCAAGAATTGACATTTAGGAATGTCTGTCTAGATTTCAGAAGATGTGTGGAAATGCCTGGATGCCCAGGCAAAAAAGTTTGCTACTGGGATGGGGCTCTCATGGAGAACCTCTGCTAGGGCAGTGAGGAAGGGAAATGTGGGGTCAGATTCCCCACACAGAGTTTCTACAAGGATGCTGCCTAGTGAAGCTGTGAGAAGAGGGCCACTATCCTCCAGACCCCAGAATGGTAGATCCACTGATAGCTTGCACTGTGCACCTGGAAAAGCCTCAGACACTCAATGCCAGCCTGTGAAAGGAGTCAGGAGGGAGGCTGTACTCTGCCAAGCCACAGGGGCAGAGCTGCCCATGACCATGGGAACCCAACTCTTGCATCAGCGAGACCTGGGTGTGAGACATGGAGTCAAAGGAGGTCATTTTGGAGCTTCAAGATTTGACTGCCCCACTGGACTTTGGACTTGCATGGGTCCTATAACCCCTTTGTTTTGGCCAATGTCTCCTATTTGGAATGGCTGTATTTATGCAATGCCTGTACCCCCATTGTATCTAGGAAGTAACTAGCTTGCTTTTGATTCTACCGGCTCATAGGCAGAAGGGACTTGCCTTGTCTCAGATGAGATTTTGGACTGTGGACTTTTGAGTTAATGCTGAAATGAGGGAAGACTTTGGGAGACGGTTGGGAAGTCATGATTGGTTTTGAAATGTGAGGACATGAGGTTGGGGAGGGGACAGAGGTGGACTGATATGGTTTGGCTGTGTCCCTACCCAAGTCTCATCTTGAATTCCCATGTGTTGTGGGGGGGACCCAGTGGGAGGTAAATGAATCATGGGGCAGGTCTTTCCCATGCTGTTCTTGTGATAGTGAGTAAGTCTCATTAGATCTGATGATTATCATAAGGGGGAGTTTCCCTGAACAAACTCTGTCTCTTGGCCTGCTGCCATCCGTGTAAGACATGACTTGCTCCTCCTTGCATTCCCTTCCCCAGCCATGTAAGTCCAATTAAACCTCTTTCTTTTGCAAATTGCCTAGTCTCAGGTATGTCTTTAACAGCAGCATGAAAATGGACTAATACAGCTATAAATCAAATAAAACTTATGTAAGTCTTCTTCAATCTGTAAAGCATTATTGATATAAAGACATAAATTGATGGAAGTATATACCAGGTTCATTGATTAGAGGTTGCAATATGATACAGATGTTACTTCTCCTCTAATTCATGTATGGATTTAAATCCCAACGGAAATATCAGCAGTTTGTTTTTTTAAATGTAAGTTAACAAGCTGATTCTAAAATTTATATGGCAATGCAAAGGGCTAAGAATATTGAAAATACTCTTAAAGCAGAAGAAAAATATGGACTACTTGTGGTATGAAATATTTGGGTTAAAAGCCACAGTAGTTGATGGTAGATCAATAGAACAGAATAAAGGGTCTAAAACCAGATATACACAATCATGAATGCTAAATTTATCATAAAGGTTGCAGTATAGAAAAGAGATGAAACAATTGATAGATGGTGCTGGGTTAACTGAATATTCATATGGGAAAAAATGAAAGTTGACCTCTAACTTACATCATAATAAGTAAGTCTACTTGGATAGTAGATCTAAATATAAATAGTAAACAAAAACAATTTCTAGAACATAACAAAAAAGGTCTTTATGATCTTGGCATAAGGAAAGATTTCTCAACAAAAAGCACTAACAGTAAAGAAAATATTAGTAGGTTGTACTAAATTAAAATGAAGAAGTTCTAATTATCAGAAGACACTATAAGGAAAGTGAAAAGGCAGACCACACAATAGAAGATATTTGCAATTCATGCAGTTGACAAAGGTCTTGTTCCCAAAATGCAGAAAGAATTCCTAAAAATCAGTAAGAAAAAGCTATATATAATCCAATAGATCAGCAGACCCCTGAGGAAGCACTTCACAAAAGAAGATCTTCAAATGGTCAATAAACATCTGAAAAAGAGCTCAGCTTTTTGAGTCATCAGGGAAATGTAAACTAAATCCGCTCATGCCACTACACATTCAACAAAATGGCTAAAATTTAAAAAGACTGATGCAGAGCAATAGGAATGCTTTATACTCTGCTCATAGAAGTTTAAGTTGATAAAACCCAGCTTGGGAAATTGCTTAACTCTATCTACTAAAGTTGTACATATCCATAACTTATTACCTAATATTTCCACTTTCAGGAATATCATCAATAGAAATTTGACACAAAATACATATATAAGAATGTTTATGGTAGCATTATTCACAGGGCACAGGCTGGGAAGAACTAATGTTTGACAACAGTAAGATGGATAAATAAATTAATGCATATTTATACACTTAAACACTATATCCAAATATAAATGAACTTCAGTTACATGCAATCAATTTCAAAAGTTAGAAGACACCAAAGGATATATATTGTTTATTCCATTTATATAATGATTGAAAATAGGTAAATGGTGTTAAAATCAGGATAGTTGTTACCTTTGGGGAAAAGGGATTTGGAGGGGAAAAGAGTAGACTTCTGAGGTGCTGGGAATATTTTCCTCCTTGACATGAGAGGTGTTTATACATATGTGTGCATATATGTTATCCAGAATCTGAACCAATTCTCTCCATGCCAATACTCATCTGCTGGTCCAAGCCACCATAATCATCACAATTTCTCATTCTCATATCTCATGTGGCAATAGCTTTTTGATTTTTTCTCTGATTTTACTCTTCATCCCCTTTAATGTGTTCTCAACACAGTAACGAGATGTTTCTTGTAAAATTAAGTCAAGTCATATAACTCTGCTGCTCGAAGTCCTGCAATAGCTCTAGATTACACACAGAATAAAAGCCAAGGTCCTTATAGCCACCAATAAGACCTGCATTCTGGTTCCCAATGACTTCTGTGTAGTCACTCCTTATTACTCTGCCTGCATTTCCCCTATACCACAGTGCCCTTTTTCCAGTTCCTGGAATACACCAGTGTTATTTTTCCTTAAAGCCTTTGCAGTGCAGTTTCTCTAGTTTGCCATGTTCTTTCTCAACATGTCTGCAGGCTAACTGCTCCCACTAAATCTCTTTCTGATGTCACCTTTTCATGATGCCCAGTATTATCACTCTTATTTGAATGGCAACTTGCCCCACCCCATCAGCTCTCCCAACTCCCCTTACCCTGCCTTCATTCTTTTTAAAAAATATAACACTGATGTTCTTCTAACATACATTATGCTTTTATTTGAAATTCTTATTGCTTTTCTCTCTTTTCTTAGATACAGCAATACATTTATTATATGTCACTTTCCAAAGGGCTTCTTGTTTTCTTCACCCATACATCTCAAGCACTTAGAATATCATAGGCGCTCACAACAGATATTTGTTGAATGAACAAATAAGCAAATTTATTGAATCCCTAATATGTAAACCGAATTCTGCTGGGCACTGGGAGTGTAATGCTGAGCAAAACCAGAAATAGATACTGCTATCATAGAGCTTTGCCAATTTGAGAGACAGTTAGCAGATGATAACATAAATAAATGCTTAGCTACAAAGTGTATTAAGAGCTAAGCATGCTTGGAGAATGTACAATTGAGAAATTTATCTCAGTTAGAAGGTGCCTCTCCTATGGGCTGGATCCTGCCAAAGGGTAGGAACTATATCCGAGCCATCTTTATGCTATCAGTCCAATCCACTATGGCAATAATAGTCAATTAATTTCTATTGAACAATATTAAATCTATTCAGGTAAGCCCCCCATATTATATAGATAAAAATTATTTAAATTATTCTTCAAAATGAACCATTCATTTTCACCTTGCCATGAACGTAGTAAGTGATGTTTGTATTTACAATATGCCTGGTCAAACACATATTCATATGAGAAAAATTATAGGCAATAACTGTAAAAACACATTTTAAACTGGAATGTCGTAGAATCTCAGATATCAGTATTACTACCAAAATAATACTAATGGAAAATATTTGTATTTTAAACTAAACTTCATGACACCTTTAGGAACTATAGGCAGAATTTGAATTTTTAAAAATAGGATACAATGGCAAGTTTATTTGATGAATTGGACCACATAAAACACAGTTGATTTGTTTCTGAGATACGTCCTAATTTCACAGGTTGTTGCAAACTTTTTAAGGGAAGAAATTTTAATAACTAATTTTTGAATTACTATTTATTTAGCACATGTTATTGGGGCTTGAGTTCACAGGAATATTAAAGTCCTATGGTAACAATTAGGAAAAGAGCCAAGGGTATATCAGAATGCTGGTATTTACCTTAAGCAAAAGGGATATAATGCTCCCCTGAGATATCTGTTTTATGTAGGCCAAAGGCTTATACACTGATTTTCTATTTAAATCAGAAACCCAGAGAATTGAGTGTTTAAAACAACAACAAAATAACCCTTATTGAGTGCTACTTGAGGCACTTTACATATATTAACTCATTTAAAAGTCAATGATTATTATGAACTCAAGTTTACAGGGTAGACCCTGAGGCTCAGAGAGAAAATTATCTCTTCCTAGGAGTGGGATATATTTGAGATACCATATTAACATTGGAATATTTCAGAGAGGCAGTGGAATGGAGCAAAAAGGTATGGCTGTGGAATCAGATTCACATGAGAATACTCACTGCCACTAATTCCCTGTGAATCCTTGGGCAAATCATTTAATCTCTAAGAATTGAAGTTTTCTCATCTAAAAAATTGGGTAAAATAATGTATTCCACTTATTTTATTTATGCCATTTCTATCCACATGGGCTTTGAATTGGGTATCAAGACCATTAGACGAAGGTAGGTCTTCTAACACCAACATCAGATTATGCAATAACTTTACTTTCCTTTTTCCCTTCCTTTTTCTCTTCCCTGCTTTTCTCCTTTCCTTTCTTTCTTCCTTCCTTCTTTTCTAAATAGCTACCATTTGTTACACATCTTCTTCAGGCCAAGTACTTTGCATACATATATTAAGCTTTTCTTTTTTTTTCTTTTCATCTTTCTTTTATTATTTTTTTCAGTTAATCTTTTCATCCATCTGTTGAAAGGGGTATTGGCAACCCTAAATTACAGAGGAGATAGGCATGGGTCTGGTAGGTTGTCATTGCAAGTCATACAGGAGTGCTTAGACCACATACTCCAAGTAATAAAAAGCTAGAACAAGGTTAATCTACACATGAAAGGAACATATTCATTTATGAGTTTTGTTATAATACTTGGGGTTCAGTGTGGACAAAGTATTTGGGGAGAATGTTGTTAAAGTTGGGATGAAGAGTTGGAAGGCAACAATGGCTGCTATTTATACATGTGTCAGGAACTGTGGCAAGAACTTTTTATGCATGACCTCTCAGCAACTCTGTTTATTTATTTATTTTTAAAATTTTTAATTTTTGTAGGTTTTTGGGGGAACAGATGGTATTTGGTTACATGAGTAAGTTATTTAGTGGTGATCTATGAGATTTTGGTGTACCCATCACCCGAGCAGTATACACTTAACCCAATATGTAGTCTTTTTTACCTCACCCCCTTCACACCCTTTCCCCCTGAGTCCCCAAATTCCACTATGTAATTCTTATGACTGCATCCTCATAGCTTAGCTCCCACTTATGAGTGAGAACATACAATGTTTGGTTTTCCATTACTGAGTTACTTCACTTAGAATAATAGTCTCCAATCCCAACCAGGCTGCTGCTAATGCCATTAATTTATTCCTTTATATGGCTGAGTAGTATTCATATATATATATATATATATATATATATATATATATATATATATGTATTCATATATGAATACATAGTAGTATTCATATATATATACATATATATATATATATATATATATTTGATTGATGGACATTTGGGTTGGTTCCACATTCTTGTAAATGTGAATTGTGCTGCTATAAACATGCATATGAAAGTATATTTTTGTATAATGACTTCTTTTCCTCTGGGTTATATACCCAGCAGTGGGATTGCTGGATCAAATGGTAGTTCTAATTTTAGTTCTTTAAAGAATCTCCACACTGTTTTCCATAGTGGTTTAGCTTTTGCATGGCAAAAGGAACAGTCAGCAGAGTAAACAGATGACCCACAGAGTGGAGAAGATCTTCATAATCTGTGCATCTGACAAAGGACTAATATCCAGAATCTCCCAAAAATTAAACAAATTAGCAAGAAAAAGACAAACAATCCCATCAAAAAGTGGGCTAAGGACATGAATAGATAATTCTCAAAAGAAGATATACAAATGGCCAACAAACATATGAAAAAATGCTCAATATCACTAATGATCAGGGAAATGCAAATCAAAACCACAATGCGATACTACCTTACTCCTGCAAGAATGGCCATAATCAAAAAATGAAAAAAAATAGATGCTGGCAGGATGCAGTGAAAAAGGAACACTTCAACTCTGAGGTAAAAGTCTTTTAATCCCACTTTACATATGATAAAATTGAGGCCCAAGGGCATTAAATAAATAATCATGCATGATTTCAAGATGATATCCAAAATTTTTCTTTACATGTCTAAATAGATTCAAATATGTAGTTTCTCCCATACTGTGAAGTTAGTAGTTTAAAATAAATACTTTATACTCATCACAATACAAGTACACAATATATGAATATGGATGAACTTGACAAACATAATGCTGAGTGAAAGAAGACAAAAAAAGTACATAACATATAATTCCATTTATATAAAGATCAAAAACAGGCATACCTTATCATTGGACATTGGAAATAAGGATTGTGGTTACCTTTGGAGGATAATGATTAAGAGAGGGCACCAAGTGCTTTTGGGGTCCTGGTGACATTCGTAATCTTAATCTGGGTGCTGTTTTACAGCTTCACTTTGTAAAAATGTCATGTGTTTTCCATGTTTATTTTACGGAAATTTATTGAGTTACACTTAAGATTTTTAAAATTTTCTGAATATATGCTGACTAGACACTATACTTTGATAAAAAGTAAGTAAATAAAGATTAAAAACAAGGTCCTCTTTAAAAAGATTTTTTTATAGCTTTTACTGCTTGAGCCTATGTTTTGATTTCATTTTTATAACAGAATTTTATCCTAATGGAAATAAAAAATTTGATTGATTACTTTGCAACCAGAATGCTATAAGTCTTAAAAAACTTTTCTTGAAGAGTAAGCTATCCTTAAGACTTTTATTAGTACACAATTGGCAATATAGAAATGTATTATAAATTTTGATAAAAATTATTGAGCATGAGATTTTTAGAAATGCACTTTTAAATCAGTTGGGTAGGCCTTTTCTTGGGGATGCATAGTTGGAATAAAAGAGGGTTCAATATCAATTCTATTTCTATTCTATGAATATGGGAATGGAATGGACTGGAAACCTTGAATAAGAATGGAAGGGGTTTATTTTTAACAACAATATCTCACAACTATTTGAATTCCTTTTTGCGGTAGAAACCAAAATCCACAATAATGTATCACCAAAAAATATTTTTAATACTCTTTCATCATGATCTGTTCTTCACTTTTGTTGAGAGCAAAGAATTATAAAAGAATTTGCAGAATAGCCTTTATATTTATTTAGTTTCTAAATGTCTGGTGAGCTTAGTTGAAAGGGTTTCACTAAGACTATTAATTTCAATTGACTATTAATTGTATCTGTTTCTCTTTCATTTAGAGGCACTTTTTAAAAACAACTGATATATTAGGAAACTTTTGGAAACATTGAAACATTGTTAATTTCTATACCTTTGCCAATACAGAAATTGTTTGGTAAATTGCATTTATTATATCATTTGCTTTAAATATTTTTTCATCAAAACTTTGGCATGACAGATTAAAGCATTCAAATTATGGAACACATCTGTCATATAACCAAATAGGCAAAGCCGGTTTTCACTATCAAACCATTTAGGTAAGTTAGAATTACTTTCTCTCAGACAAATCTGATCTCATTTATCAATTCATGTAAATGTGTTAAGACACACTCCCTGATATCTCACTTCTTAATGTTACTTTAGAATAGACAGATCACAGAGCCTTACTAGGAGTTATTGCCTAAATAAAATACAGTTCCACTGCTTTCAAAATTTCTTACCCATACACTCTATGCTTTATTTTCTTAGGCTCTCCTTTAACAGTGATGCACTTTTTGTAAATAGTAGAGTGATGGGAGACACGAGGTTCTTAAACTCATTATCACTCCCTCTGCTTTATTGTGTGCAACATGTACATCCATTACATCCCTACAGAGGCCAAAATCCCCTACTTCTATGCCACACTTTGCTCTTAACAGAAACCTGTATAATATAAAAACAAGCAAACAAACGTGAGGCCTAACAATGATTTACGAAGTTTTTGTTAAAGAAGCCATTAGTACTCATAGTTTAATTTTTTTTCTCTGGGACCCTGGAGGTTTTCAATATTTCAAGCCATTAAGATATAGTAAAATTTGGAATGAGAGATTTTGTTTATTTTCTATTTACCTAAGTACATATGTGTGTATGTATGTATATGTTTGTGTGTTTATATAGAGGAGAAAAGAACAAATATGAAATTGAAAAAGGTGAGGCGGGGGAAACTGTCATGAAGGCTCCCATCTAAAACCATTTTCAGACAGATCAATTTTGTAAAAGAACATATAGGGAAGGTGAGTATCTGGAAAACTATTCTCTTAAAACTATATTTGGCTGTGTATCCCTTAGAAAATCGTTATGTATCCCCAAGAGTTCTCTTTTTGAAGAATGCTGATATAAAATTACTGGTTAGGAGTTCTGTGTGCTCAACAGAGTCTAGAGGGCAGTGGTGAAAGTGGCTGAAGCAGTCATGGAGCTGACTGGTTATGGAGGTGAATGCGTTTACAGAGGGACAGAGGCCTGACCTGGGTCAGGAGCAAGTGAGGTTGGGAGGTGGGCATTGATATTGTTGAGTAACTTGAAATTTACTCCATGGTGGGAGAAAACAGGAGATTCAATGTGTGTGGGAGGGTGTTGAGGGAGAAGCAAAGTGTTTATCTTTTGCCAGGAAGAGCCTCATATGGATTAGGCTGTGGTCATTTGACATAATGATTGATTTGGAGGAAAACAGGATAAGAAATTGTAAGATCAGGAAGAGGATGACAGAGACATTTCTGCTACGGAGATTGGGATTATTAAAGAGAAAGGAAAAGAAAAACTATATTTTTGTTATATCCTCATTTGTTTCTAGCAGTATTATATCCACAGTAAATTCTTGGTAAATACCTGTCAATTGACTGTGTTATTTCTTAAGCAATGTAACTAAATCCTCTCTGTGTCTGTTAAAACCACTGACAACTCAGAAGGGGGAAATATGGAGAGTCACTGTTCTCTATTCATCATGTATCAGGTGAGGGGTAGATCGAATTTTAGCAATTTATTAAAGGAATTAGAATTTTGGGAATATATCATCCTATAAAATTGTATGGTAGTCAAATAATCTGTGTTGGCTAAGTTGCTTCAATTATGAAGTCATTCAGTAGTGGACTTCTAGTAGTAGTTTTGATAATAGATTGTAGTTTTAAATAGTATCTGAGAAACATCTTTCTATTACTTCTGCATTTTCCTAAAGAAACAAATATTATGGAAAATAAATGTGCAATGGGTTTCTGGGAAAGAATGAAATTGTGTATATATTTTAATTAAAACAAGATTTTCTTCAAAATTGTGGTAACCTTTACAAATATGAGAGAAAACACACAAAAAGATGTGAATGCAATTATACACACAACTTGGGAGTTTGCCAAAGCAGAAAAAACAATTCTCATTAGTTAGCAAAGATAAGAATAGAAATAATGGATTTAAATTTAAACAAGAAGGATTTGAAAGATTGGAGAAAAATTTAACAGATCGACTGGGGAATGAAATCAATTTCTGGAAGAGATGACATGATCAAAATTATGTGAAACCTTAAAGTTGCAGCTTGAGGAACACATAGTAGGAAAAAGTGAAAGAAAGACAGGTGATGTCCCGCTGGGGGGATTGGATAAGATGATCTTCTGAAAATCTCCTCTAGGCCACTGTTACAGAAGGAGGATGTGCTGTGGACTTAGGATTCTCTAAAGACAGTGAAGAAAACATGTGAATAGAGGGGCAGAGAGGGTTTCAATCCCTGGTGGCCTCTTTTCCTCATAGTGTGAACAGAGAGGAGTTGTAGGCTGTGCGTGTGTGAGAGGGCCTGGTGCTGTAGGTGGGTGGGACAGTTCTTCTGTTCATGTGTAATAGCTGGTTGGCTGAGCCTGGGAGCCACGCATAGGAATCCTATGTATCTTTTTTTCTTTCATAGGTATGGGAATTCAGGGAACATGAAAGCAGATTTTCTCATTACCACCAAGAAGTACAGTTTTAAGGGCAGATAAAAGATATTCTTTCCTAGAATAGCAGGGCTAATAAATGGTCCTGTGAGATTCACTACTTTCCAGGCACTAGGAGAGGTCGTGGCTGAGCACAAGGGATAGACATATTTTCTCTTCTCAGCTCAGAATTCACCGAAGAGTATGTTGCTATGTGGGTGGAATTATTTCTCCAAGACAAATGAGCATATGCAGAAAGTAATTGGGGAGGACAGAAAATGTTCATGACTATTTCTATTACACCTGGGGAGCCAACTTGAATACAGAAGGGGTGATGTAGGACCGATTATAAGAATGATGCCTTAACATGTTCCTGTGCTTCAGGTTGCCTGCTAAAGGGTTATAGTCTATTGTAAATAAATAGAGCCATCCTTCAGCAGATTTAATTGCTTGCTTTTTGCTGGGAGATTAGGCTATCTATGAAGCACAAAGGCTCTGCACATGTCTCCCTGGACTTTTTGCTGTGTTCACACATTTGCAATCTCCACCTGTTGTTGGACACTGCCTTTATCAGGTGATGTCCTTCAAATAGCTGGACTATATTATGGCCAGCTGTGCCCCATGTAGAAAATAACTTTGATACCCACTGTTGAATTATGTTCCCTGTCCCTAAAATCATATGTGGAAGTTCTAACCCCCAGTACCTCAGAATGTGACCTTATCGGCCAGGCGCGGTGGCTCATGCTGGTAATCCCAGCACTTTGGGAGGCTGAAATAGATGGATTGCTTGACCTCAGGAGTTTGAGACCAGCCTGGGCAACATGGTGAAACCTCATCTCTAGAAAAATACAAAAAATTAGAAGGCATGGTAGCATGCATCTGTGGTCCCAGCTACTCAAGAGGTAAAGGCAGGAGGATAGCTTGAGCCTGGGAGGTGGAGGTTGCAGTGAGCCAAGATTGTACCACTGCACTCCAGCCTGGGTGACAGAGTGACTCTGTAGCACAAAAAAAAAAAAAAAAAAAAAAAAGAAAAAGAAAAAGAAAAGAAAGCATGTGACCTTATTTGCAAATAAGGTCTTTATAGAGGTCATCAAGTTAAAGTCAGGTCATCAGGGGAGGCTGAATCCAAAAATGACAAGTATTTTTATAAGAGTGATAATTTGGACACAGAAATACACACAGAGGGAAAACAACATGATGAGCCAAAGAGAGAAGCTGGCCATCTACAAGCCAAGGTTAGAGGATTGGCCAGTCCTCTTACAGTCTTCAAAGTAACCAATTCTGCCAACACCTCGATTTTGGATATCCAATCTCCAGAACTGTGAGAAAATAAATTACTGTTGTTTAAGCCACCCAGTTTGTGGTACTTTGTTATGGTACCCCAAGCAAATTAATAATACCAACTAATTATGGATTTACATAGACTTCATTCATTCATTCATTCTGGTATTGAGTACCTTCTGTGTTTTAGATACAGAGAATACAATAACCTTGATCTCAACAAATTTCTCGCTGCTTGATGAAGATAGATACATAAACTGACAATTTTAAAGGATAACTAGAAGAAGGATTGGGAGGTATTCAGTTCAAATATTTGGTATGTATTATGTACTAAGCAGGGTAATTTAGAGTTAAAAAGCACAGTAAAATTCAGCTCTGCCACCCTACTTTTAAGCTTGAAGAACTATTTATTCTAGTAAATCCGCAAAATGGGAATAATGATATATTCTAATGGGATTTTTGTAAGTATTAAATGAGATAACAAATGTAAAATGTTTAGTTTAGTGCCTGTAACAGAACATAGAGAAGGTAGTATTACTTGCTGCTTATGGAACATGTCACAATTGGAATGGTATGCAGAAAAATAATTGAGTTGGGGGCTGACCAAATAACCAACTAGAATGTGTGGTTTAGAATTCTACCTTGCTATTTATGCATGGGAGGCACAGCTTGAGTTTTTACAAAGGTATCAGTAATAGTTCATTCAGAAATATCTGGTTAGACCTTCCTACTTGTTTGCAAGGTCTTGGGGGCCTCTAAGCCCTCTCCCACTTAAGAGGAATAGCTTGTTTTGGGACCTCCAAGAGGAATGAGAGTGCCTTGGATTTGATTATGATACTTTCATTTTAAGCTGGAAATTGGAATTTGCATGGCTGGTATCTTGACGATTTTCTGAGCTGTGACTTGGAAAACTAAACATGAGACTTGATGGCTAGAATTATTAAAATGATAAATTTTGGACCTTTGGAAATTGTGAAGTTGTTAAAATTGCAAGCTTAAACAGAGTGGGAAAAGACAGCTATTGTTTCAGAAACAGCTCAGTAGAGTAATCTTGGAATACAATTCAGAAATCCTCTCTGGCATTTATTTCAAGAGCAATGGCAAAACATAATTTTAGCTTTAGTGTGCAGAAGCTTTTAGACAATGGAGGTGCTGGAAATAGTTTTGGACAATGGAGGTACTAGAAATAGGTACCTTTCTATCTTCGACTTTGTTAAGATACGAATATTTTTAAAGCATAAGTCCCAGTGGTTTCCTGCCAGAAAAATATAGTCATCAATGCCCCATGTCCTTTCTTCAAAGAAGAGCCTGTTCTCTCTCCAGGCTATGCAGAACTGGGCCAGACTAGGGTCTTCAGGATCTGATGGTGTCCTGTCCTTTATGACTTGGGATAGCTAACAACCTTCTGGCATAAGAGGAATGGCAATTTTCCCAATTTCCATAAAAACAAAGTCCACAACCAATCAGCCAAACATATATATTTTTTTAAATGGTAGGATAAATCATTTTCATTAAAAAAAAAAAGCAACAAAAACGATAGGACTAATCACTGATGATGGGAGTCAGAGAAGTTGTGTTATGATCCTGAGGAACATTTCACTCTCTTAATCTCTAGGTGCTCTTTAAAAAAACCCATACCTGGAGTTGATTCCTTCTGGCTTTGAGATGTTCTTGACTGTACATGAAATAATCTGGAAAATGGTAGAGTGATTTTATTTTCGTAGAAGGAATAACATGCATGAAAGTCTTTCCATAGAAGGTGGGAGTTTGGAAACCGAGTATTTATTTCATAAGAGAGAGTAAGAGATTAAGAGAACTTTGTGTAAAATACCCCCCCTAAGAGGAAGCACAGGGGCAGGAAGTGTGGAAGAAAGAACTGAAAACACAGACTTGTCAAATTTCACTAAGCCATCAAGGGAACTTATCAAATTCTGGTGAATAGAAATCTTTCTTCCTGTAAATAGTGCCCTGGTACTGATCTCATCTTGACTGAAGTTTAATATACTCTATATATACCAGTTCTGGGGAATATTTCCGTGACTTTTGAACTATGAGTCAACCCTAGCTGAAAACTTTAGATAGAGTGATTTTGAATTGATTAAGTTAGCTTTTGAGTATGTCATGCCCTGAAAAGACTTGCAGTTACTCACTGGGAGATGACTCCTTTGCTGGTGCTGAGCTCCTGCAGTCCTTGTGTGAAGATAGCACTCTTTTGCAAGTTAGGAATCACCCTTTCACATTGGAGTGTCCAGTTGGTACACTAGAAAAGGATAAAACATGTGGTCATATCACTGACAAAAAAGATCCAAGTGCCCTTTCAGAACTATCCGTTTCCTTGGCTTTACAGACTTCTTGAAACTTTGTATTTTGTAGAGACAGTATGGGAAGAAATGAAAGTTTAGTCAAGTATTTATATTTGATCAACTACTCGTTTCCCTTAAAAGTTGAGTTCATTGGCTTTAGACTTCACTCTTGTAATGGGGGAAACATGTTGTCTTCCTAATACCCATAGGAATCTCATGCAGA
This sequence comes from Homo sapiens, assembly GCF_000001405.40. NCBI lineage: Eukaryota > Metazoa > Chordata > Mammalia > Primates > Hominidae > Homo > Homo sapiens. The sequence goes on along the minus strand of NC_000005.10, from coordinate 87,959,259 downwards.
AAAAAACCCTCTCCACACTCTTAATAATATGAAAACTCTATCTGGCCCACTGCAGTACCTGTCAGAAGTAGAACTTGTACCTGGGTTTAAGACCCTGAGGCAGATTTACCGTAAAGCTAATGAAGCTTAAGCTTTAGAACCTCAGTGTCTTGGGCTTAATTTTTACTTGTAATTCTGTAGTATTTTGCTTAAAGAAGGCCCCCATAATTATGTAAACATAATGTTCTGGGAAACCTAGACCTCACCTCTGGCAAGAATAGAGTCACTGGGATAAAGAGGTGGATATTATTACCCCCAGTAATCCTCAGAACTCATAATTCATGTTCATCTCTCAGAGTATTTACATGAAAGTTGAAAGAGAGAGTGAAGGCTTCTCAAAGTTTCTGCTGTGTTTGTGATTCTGTGGCCTTCCTTGCTGATCCTTCTCAATTGCAGATCAATCTAGATCTGGAAATTCCCTCCGCAAGAGGTCAGCTAAGGAAGTAGAAGCTTAGTGTTTTTCTTCTGCAGTTAACAGGGAAGATGTTTATTTTACTAATTTTTGTGTGAGGTCCCAGAATATACACTTCTTCCATTATCACTGCCCTTTCATTTGCTAACATGGAAAGTATAGGATGAATACTCATTTAGGAAAGCTGACTTAGAGTGGGAATGTGCTCAAAGGTAGCATCATTTAATTTATATTTTATTCATTCAGTTGTGAGGTGCCAAACTGCCCAGTTTATTTTTTAGAGGGAGTTAATGATTAATAGTAGCTTATTAAATTTGGAAACAACATAATCAACTACAGATTTTTTTAAAAGTGGCTGTAATTTCCTATCTACCTTCAGATACATAAAATAGACAATATTACTTTAATTTTTAAAGGAGAGGTGTTCTTTCTTAACCAGCATGGCACATGTATACATATGTAACTAACCTGCACATTGTGCACATGTACCCTAAAACTTAAAGTATAATAATAATAATAATAATAAAAAGAATAAAAGAAAAAATAATGAAGACAAAAAAAAAGGTTCACTGAAAAATATTTCATACAAAAAAAAAAAAAGTCTGTGAAAGCCAAGGAGGCTTTCAAATTATTTTAAAGACCACTTAGGTGAAATTTGCAATACACTTTTAAAATATGCCACTGTCACAGCTGCTGTCTGATAAAGCTCAGGCTCCAAACTGTGCTTCTCAGTAGCCTGTGAGATCATTGCTGTCAGGTGGCATTAGCTTCTTTGCAACATCCTCCTACTATGTGCCATGAGGGAATAAAGCCACATCTCCCTGGGAAGCTCCTATCAGTGACTCAGGAGAAATCCAAGTTCTTTCTCAAGAAGCTCTTCAAACTTTACGCAAATACATTTCCACTCCATTATTGACCAGAAGGTAGGTTTTAATTGTACTGTGAATATTTGCAATGACCTAGATGGAAAAGTTGAGACAAAAAAGGGGCCGGGTGCGGTGGCTCACGCCTGTAATCCCAGCACTTTGGGAGGCCGAGGCGGGCAGATCACGGGGTCAGGAGATCAAGACCATCCTGGCTAACATGGTGAAACCCCGTCTCTACTAAAAATACAAAAAATTAGCGGGGCATGGTGGCGGATGCCTGTAGTCCCAGCTACTCGGGAGGCTGAGGCAGGAGAATGGCCTGAACCTGGGACGCGGAGCTTGCAGTGAGCCGAGATCGCGCCACTGCACTCCAGCCTGGGCGACAGAGTGAGACTCCGTTTCAACAACAACAACAAAAAAGAAATAAGACAAAAAAGGCATTGTTGGGATATGGGGGGCGAACAGAAGGTTTGGGATAGAAGTAATGAAAGTCAAGAGCAGTGGGGGAGTTGGGGGAAAGGTGTTGAAGAAAGGTAGTTGATTTGTCCTTCTTAATCTCTGGTTCTCAGTTTGATCAGACATTAAGTCCATTCTTTTACTTTTTTTTTCATCTACTTTCTTAGAGCCAAAACTGGGGGAAGAGGTCATAGCACTATACTAACTTATGCTTCAACATTACACTCCTCAGGCATTGATTCTAATTAAGATAGCATTAACTGAGAATGAGAACAGTTGACTTTCATTCTCAGATGACTCTTTGAGTCAGTCCTCTGTGTGGCTCCACCTCTTAAGAGAAATTAATGATACCTTCCCATTTTTGCCTCATCAAAGAGTAGTGATATCTGCCCATTTTTACTTCACCAAATTTGGAGAGAAATTCCAAATAAACATCAAAGAAAAAAAGTATATTGATGCATTCTCAACATTAGAGGTATTTCTTCTCATAAAATTGTTTTTAATTATTAAAAATAGGTTATTTTATTACATGCATTTGAAGCAAAGGGATAAAACATGCTTTTGAAGTCAGGATGTCAACGTAGATGTGAATAACACATATGTTGACACCGAAGTTAAAAAGACCCCACAAAAGTGACAAATGATGAAGAAAAAGCACTATTACAGCAGATCTTGACCTTTTGAGAATATGATCAGCCTGTCAGCACTAATGGTTTTCTATGCTCATAGCAAAAAGCTATGAGTGCCTACATTTGGGATGGAGGTCAGATGATATCTCAATATAAAAATAATGAAATGGTACCCTGTCATACACACAAAAAAATAATTCTCCAATTTCCTCTTCTTTTCATCCTTTCTTTGCAACAGAGATGTACACATGTTTGCATAATATGAATATGCACAATGAGCCTGGCTCTTTTTCCTTCCACCATCCCAACCTATCCAGTCCTAAAGAGGACTCTTATTAATATCCCTTAAGGGTATTATGGCACTCAGAATAGTTATTAGGACCAAAGGATTTTTTTAAGGGTTCTCAAAACAGGATAAGGAGTCAGGAAATGGAATCAATTTGATCTATTTAATACTCTTATTGTGCACTTGAAGCTTTAGAGATTCAAAAGAATCTCTTATGGCTATATTGCACTCCCAAATCTCCAAACCCAGATGTTTCTCTTTTGACCTAAAAATTTTGTCTCCTCCTCTAGCTGTCTTGAATTTATTAAAGAGGATCATAGTTTTTTAGAAAGGTCCAGCAATATTATGTTTTCCTGACTATCTGAGTTTTTATCAATGGATCCTCATAAGCAGACTAAGCAGACAGACAGGAACTCAGGAGAATAGCATCTTGATTTATGCAAGAAATGTGGGCAACATGGGAGAAAGGCCCCCTCAACATTCCCTTTAATCCTTGGCAAGGATTGACCATGGTTATGGTTTTAAGTATAGTAGTAGACAGAAAGTTAAAGGTGGGGTAAATTTCTCCTGGAAGTGAGAAAAAAATAAGATTTCAAGTATTCCACTGATACATAAGAGTGAATAATAATAACAATAAATATGAGAAATAAGAATTACAACAGAGACAAACTACTGCTGTGGATGGCCTATTAATTAGCAGGAACCATAAGCAAATCAGATGCTCTGACCAGGTGTCTGGATGTGAGGAAATTCTAGTTGAATTGAACCAGTTGCCTTAACAGGCGGAGAATGAACTGGTTCATGCAAAAACAGACAGACAAACAAACAAACAAACAAAAAACATACTTACTGCCATTAAATTGATCCAGTAAGCAAGAGATAGAAATCAATCATCAATTTGACCTGAATCAAGAGATTTTTCCCATAGGCTTTTTGCGTATATATTAAATGTTGTAATAGCCATAGACTATGTCAAAATTGTTTAAGGCTAAACTTTCAATTTGTGTTTTTTTCCTTGTTATTCCTCACTCCATCAATTCTACACTTATTGTACCTGTGATGTCACAGATCTTATTGAAAAATCGGTCGGGCGTGCTGGCTCACGCCTGTAATCCCAGCACTTTGGGAGGCTGAGGCGGGTGGATCACTTGAGGTCAGGAGTTTGAGATCGGCCTGGCCAACATGGTGAAACCCTGTCCTTACTGAAAATACAAAAATTAGCCAAGTGTGGTGGCTGTAATCCCAGCTACTCGGTAGGCTGAGGCAGGAGAATAGGTTGAACCCAGGAGGAGAAGATTGCAGTGAACCGAAATCACACCACTGCACTCCAGCCTGGGTGACAGAGTGAGACTCTGTCTCAAAAAAAAAAGAAAAAGAAAAAATCATTACCAATGCCTCCCGCCAGCCCCCCCACCCACCAAAATATTCTGTATGGAAGAAATTAGGAGTGATTTTTAAAAAATTGTTCCTGTTGTGACACAGCCTCCCAAGGCAGGGGCAGCATTGTACGAGGACAAGGAGGGTGAAAGAAAGTTCAATCAGGTCACTAAACTCTGAAAAGACACTATTTCAGGTCTTAGAAGTCTCTCCAGGGATTCTTCATCTTCATCTTGCATTAAGTCAAAGATTTCCATTTAAATTTTATATCTCAATGGATAAACTCCATATTAATCGCCTCTGTGGGCCACGTTCTTCATGGCATTTCTTTTATTCCCAGTCATTTGACATTTCCTCCTCAGGGTAGCATGACATACATGAGCTGTCTCAGAATTTCTTGAATAAATATTCACTATAATCATTTCAGAGAGGCAATGGTAAGTCATTGGCACAAAGGGTTATCTGAATTTTCTTGAGTTTAAGAAATTTTTTCTTCATAGCCTAGCAGATAACTGGGAGTCAGGCATTCATTTCCTTCCTGCTCTATTTTGCCACTGGGGAAATATGCGTTGTTTTACCTCAGTGATTTCATATGCAAAATGGGAATAATTACACTTTTTCTTTGGCTCACTGGAGGGTTAAGAGGATTAATGCTTTTTCTTTTATTTAGAAAATGCATGTACTTCATGAATGAAACATGCTTTAAGTGGGAGTTATTATTAGGATTATTATCATCAATAAGGACTTAAATATGTTCTTTGTCAAATAGAATCCTAAAAGTTAAAATTCAAGCTAATAAATTAAAACAGGCTTGAGGGGATATGAACTTGAATGTCTGTCAATGACAATTGGATGCAGTGAGTAATCCAATTTACTTCAGGAAATATGTAGCTGTGGCAGGGGTGAGGAGTAGGCATGAGGCTGGAAGACTAACAAAGGGAGTATATAGATATTCATTAATTCCTCCAGGAAATAGTAGGAGGGAAAGGAGGGTTTGGAAGACATATTTACCAAGAGAGGAGAGACAGGAACTGTAAAAGGATAAAATAAAGGGAAAGCCCTGAAAAGTAAAATGATTCCGAGAAACTGGCAAAATTTACAAAGCACAGACTTGGATGCTTGGGAAATGTCAGCCAACTGACAGACACAAATGAGATTCAAGGAGAAATCAAGGGTTTGGGGAGAAATAAAAAAGATCCACTCAAATTATTCCATAATTAGAACTAAAGTTTTACTAAGGAAAAAAAGTATGGTGGAAAAAGCATAAAGCTGGGAGAAACCACTTAAATTGCCTCTGAATTCTATACCTCCAATTCAATGTAGTTGTCTAGAGAACAGAACTGAGATGCTCAAGAGGCTGGAGGTACTATCCTCTGAAGACAGATTGGAAAGCCTGGACTCTTTCATCTAGAAAGAAGGAGGCAGAGCAGATACGTGCTTGAAGTCACTAATGTCACCAGTGGTCTCTATTGAGAAAGTACAAGGCTATTTTCTGAATCCCACAGTGCTGATTGAAGAGAACTCCCATTGAAGCCTGGAAGAGGAAGACACATTTAGAGAGGTCAATAATCCAATAGGTGGTAATAACTAATACGTAAATTGATTTAAAAAGATAAGTTAAATTCAGATATGGATTCCTGATTTTGGTATTAAGGTGGGCAGATACTGCTCTTCATCAACATCTCCCTTAGTGTTTCTATCAGAGCTAGACCTATAACCTAGATGCACCAAGAATATCACTCACTGTAGATATCCGTATGTCTTTATATTCTAGCTGGAAATAGCAATTTTATGTCTCACCACCTTTTAATATGAGGGAATGAAAAGGTTAACATTCTTCTTGCTAATGCAACAAGTTTTATTCATGCATGATTCCATGCTCATGGACCAGAAAAGGTAGGCAAGGTATGGGAAGGGGAACATCAGTTTACCCTTCCTGTGTACTCCAGGGGTAGGGAGATTGTAGTAAGAGTGTTTAAGGTAGTATTCAGCAGCTGCTGACCTCCACAGGGTCAAAACTTAAACTTAGAAAGACCTGAATTAATGTCACAGTTACATCATCTTCTATTTCATTGGAAATAATGCTCAGAGGCCAATGTCCAAGGTTACTTTGATATATGGGAGGTTTCTGAAATTCCTGTGTGAGCTTTGTTGACAAAATCGTGTGTTGCACATGACAATAGTGACGTGACTCTTGAGTACTATTATTTTCCAGACAACAATATACACTAATCATCCCGTCTTTCATAGACCTAACAACCTGGGACAGTGAGTTTTGTCTCTAGCTTAAAATTTTCTCTAGCTTAGCATTAGAATCATCTTGGAAGTTAAAAAAATTAATAACCACACCGAGTCTCCCATATCCCCACCCCCAATGCACAGACACATGAAGATTCAGTTTTATTGGCTTGGGCATGAGTGCTTTTGAAAAGTTCTTAGAATTTTTTAATGTTCACCCAGAGTTAAGGCCCATTAATGAAGAGGAAAGACTGACACTGAATACATGTAATAGCAAGATGATGACTATTATAAGGAAGTATGCTGAGCATGGTGGCATGCACCTGTAGCCCCTGCTACTCAGGAAGCTGGGGCAGGAGGATTGCTTGAGCCCAGGAGTTCAAGGTTATAGTGTGTCACGATTGCACCTGTGAAAAGACACTGCACTCCAACCTGGGCAACATAGTAAGCCCTCATCTCTTAAAAAAAAAAAAAAGAAAAAGAAAAAGAAAAATAAGTACCCATGGTACAATGGATGTTCAAAATCTCATGGACAGCATTTATCTAGAGTAGATGCAAATGTTTTAGGATTTACAGAGTAAACATAACAGGTATGAAGGTTACTTTTATTTTATTGAGGATTTTACTATTAAGATTACATTTAGTTACAAAATTCACCATAATTGCTTTGCCTAAAAAGATCAGTGTTAAGGCAATCAATGGATGATAACGTATAGATTTTCTCTGAAAATTTTCTGGATCAGGATTAGTATGTACTTGCTTCACTCAGATATATTAGGGCAGAGAAAAATTTAATAAAGCACACTCCTACTAGGGTAAGAGAAGAAAGTTTATTTTCATATGCATTGTGTTAAAAAACAAAATCAACTGGAGTAGAGTATAGAAAATTAAGTCAACATGAATCCTGAAATGCTGCTGTGAGAAACTGTGAATTGCTCATCAATATAATCACATGTCAACAACCCACAACTGGATTGAGGATAAGCATCAAACTTAACATATTCCAGTTAGTTGCAGGTTGCGTGAGATGTCTTTTTCAGACAGCATTATCACATAGCAATGCCTGAAGTTCCACTTTGGCAGAGGTACTTTAAATAACAAAAGACTCTCAAACATAATGTGGTTTCTTTACAATAGTGCTTGCCTGTGTATGGACCTACTCTTTCTTAAATCATACAGGTCACATAGACCCTTATTTAAACTGTAGTTATGGGCAGGATGCTAAATGAATGACAGCTCAACCTGAGGTCATGGGTTATCAAAGTCATATCTAATTGCACACATGTGCAATTTTCTCCTTCCTAAAGTCCCTCCTTTTTAATGGCACATTTTAGGGTAGTTCTCAGCAGCAGAACTCCTTGTTTATTAGTAAATTATGGGCTTTCTCCTTAGTATCTAAAAATAATGTTACCAGTTCTATACTCCAGGAAGCATGGAAGTTAGAAAGCAGTACTTCACAGCAGACAGGCCCATTTGTTTTTGTAATTCAAATCAATGTAAAGAAATGTCATCTCAAAACATATTTTTAACAGTGACTTTTGGGCCTCTAGCACATTTTTCACAATTATTATCTGATGCAAACATATCGAGATTAAAAAAGTAAATTTTAATTTAACTTCCTTTGACTAGATCTTGAATGTAAACACAGCTGTTTGTGCACTCAATTCATTAAAAACAATCAGAGGTCTCCACTGACCTGGGAGCTTTAGGGATAGATATCATCAGTATTGGAAGACTTCTCAGCTTACAGTGGAAAGTACTGAAAAATTAACTCAGAAGCAACTACCTACAAGCAAGTGTTCTGTGATAACAGGTGCCTCTTTGTGTAGGAAAAGAGACACAAACTGACCCTATAGGGGCAAGGGTTGGGGACAGAGTGCCCAGCATGTAGGTCTTTCAGAAGGCACAGGACTGAGGTCGCTCAGGGAAGAAATTACAGATCACTTCCTTTGTTATTTATGCCTAAAATAGCTTCTTGTGACCTTCTAAAACTCAAGAGGATACAATTTAAGCCCAACATGGAAATGTCCAATATATTGGCGTTGTTAGATAATGTACTCAGTGGGTAAAATAGTGAAGCATTCTCTTTAAGCAAGCACTCAGCACTCATGTGTCTCCTGTCACTAGATACACTCAGCTACATGCCTGTATTTTAATCAGAGATTTACATACAACCAAAGATTGCAGATGGTCTTAGGTTCTTATCTTATTCTCCCAAGAAATGTTAGCAGGATTTAAACATCTGGGATTTGTGTCTTTTGGCAAAACATAGAGATAAATGCTTTTCATTTTTGTTAATTACATATAGTTTTATCTCAGGGAGGCACTCTTCCTTTGTGGCATCTCAGCGAGAAACTGACAGTGTCTACTTCTCTTATGAGTAGAATGCTTTCCATTGTTACAAGGTTTATAATTACATGTTTGTGACTTCATCCCCAATAGCCTCGCCCCATGAATACAGATAACATCTTACAAAAGAGGAGGCTGGGAACGACTCTAACAGACAGGGTGGGAGGAGAGGGAGGCTGATGTGCTCAGTGACCATCTCCTAGCGAGGCTCTGGGACAACCAGTGGGGGAACTTGGCCCTTCAGGTTTCTGGTGCTGCCTATAGTCTGAAACACTGCCCTTCTGTTTCATGAGCTGTGAAGCACCCTTGGGAAGATGAAGAAATACTCAACCTATAGGTTGACATTTTATTTATATCACATCTCTTGTTGAATTGTTCTGAAGAACCCGAGGTGGCCGTGGCATTCCTTCTCTTTATTCACTTGGTTACAGTTTAAAATTTGAATAGCTGTTTATGCTGGAAGGCTGAACACCCAATCAGCAGTCTTTGAATTGAAGCTGTATTGTTCACTCATGAAAATGCCTGTTTCATCTGTCAGCTCTCTTTTATAGTCAGCCTAATAATTTATGCTTGCTAAAGATGTTTTCTGACCTGTGATTCCATTGCCAGTTAGGAAAGGGCTTTGGCAGCATTCACACTTCCTTTCGTAATAGGGGGCCAGTAAGGTACAATTTAGTGAAATTACTGCTCCAGTGCACTAATGGTACCCAGACCCAGACTGGGGGAGGGCAGAGGGACGGGATGAGGGACCCTATCCTTTAAAGAGGGCACTAGTCTCCACAGAAAGATATCCTGGAAAGAGGCCTCTTTGGGAGCCGACTCCCTCCCTGAGGTCTGCATAACCCTGATGACTGAGTTAACGCACCCATAAATATGCCACAGGGCACTACATGGGACAATATATAGTTTTCACTAACACAAATAAAAATAGATCATTTTTACCCAGGAAGTTTATATCATCTCTTTGAATTTGTCTTTTTTTAAAAAGGTATTGTGATTCTATTTAAGTGACCCATTTTTAGAAAAAAAGCACATACATAATAAAGTCCTTTGTGCCCTTCAAAAGGGATTTATTTGTATGTGCTTGAACTATGTATTCTTTATCTTATTCCTGTTGAAAGCATATTAAGTGGGACTTCTTTAAATGGGCCATCCTGCATTATAATTATAATCTTTTCAAGTCTTTAATTTGCAAGTTATTGGCAGACCTGTCCTGAAGAGAACTTTTCTAATTGCAAATGGAACTATTCTCCAAGTAAGGTATATTTTTTTCCTTTTTTGATTCTCTCATAATATTTCATTTTTATTTCTCATAAATCATTTATCTTATCCTCCATAAAAATCATTTGTGTACCTTTTTTTTACCCTACCAGTTTTGTCAATGTCTTGAGGTTGGTGACTTCATCTTAATTTATTTTTAATTTATTACAGCCTCTATCTCAATGGTATTCTTTTAGGAGGGATTTAATGAATATCGGTGAATTGATTTCAAGAATATTTTAGCACAACATCTTAAATTGAAGTAGATTCTCTCTCTACATATTCTAATTTCAGAAATAGACTTGACTATACAATGAACTTGATGAGTCCAGTCAGAAAGCAGATTTTACCAAAGACATAACATTTAATAAAATGAGTAAATAAAAATTGTAAATAAACTCTTCAAAGAAGACATTTCAAGAGATTTTTGGATGACGTTTAAAAAATTTAAATAAGTCTTTTAAATAAAGATATTTTAAAAGTTGATCCTTACTGACTTTCAGCTTTAATAGATCTGGCAACAGAAATGCTGAAACACCTCTGTAGAAGCTGAAGGCTTACGGGTGTGATATGGACAGTACAAATAAAGGTTCCCAAGTATTCTCAGATGATAATAACTGACGATGTTGTAGCACTTTGAAGTTCACAAAGGGCTTTCCTATTGAAGTAGGCATTAATAATCCCTTTCCATGAATGGTTTCAAAAAGGTTCCCTGACTTGCTTGGGGTCATTAAATGAGCAAGGAATAGAGCTAGAGTGAAGTGTGAGACTGGGACTGTGAAAGGCCCCTCTCCACAGTTCTGCCTGCTGCTTCTTTTTTGTCTTTCAAGTTATGCCTCCTTTTTTAAATAAATAAGTGAAAGATGGTGTTTGCCATCTTGTTTATAGATTTCTGCTTTACAAAGACATAGGATTTCAGAGCTAAAATAAACTGTAAAGCTCATGCAAAACACAAAAATTTTTATTTCACAATTGAGGAAAGGAGAGCCTTTATTTTATTATTTTTATTTTTGTTAATAATAGTAGGCTATAGATTAATTAAGCTTTTAAGCTTTTTAGATTCTAGTTCCTTAATCAAGAGCTCTGTGGCATAGATATTTTTTCTATTCTAACAATAAAGAGACAGGGTGCAGAAAGGACCGGTGATTTTCTCAACATCACATTTAGAAAAAGACAAAACACATCTGCTGTACCCCAAACCAGGTCTCTTAATACTTAATGCCATGATGTACCTTTACTATGTTAAACAGTAATGGCAGAATTCGATATTATGACGGATTATATCCCTCACCAATGCTTTTGCTAAGCAATTGATAAAAATGCATGAAGCTCCTTGCTCCTATCTTCAAATCTCTGTCTCTAATTGTACCTTTTCTTGAAGTGTTCTATAGGAGCAATGGACATTAAAAATTGGTTTTAATTATGTGGTTTTTTTTAAATACAAAGTTTTGGTCTCCATTACTTTGGACTTGTACCTGGCTGAGTGTTCCATCTTATTTTTACAAACCAAGTTCAAAAGCCCATTTACACTTAAACATGCTTTCTGGAAAGTGAGAAATAAGTCATGAAACTAGAGAGTGTTCAGAGAAAAGCCACTGAAATGATGAAAGACTTGAAAGGTGCTTTCTGAAGGCAGATCAACTAAAAGACAACTTCAGTCTAGAACGATGAAGGCTCTACAAATGGGTGACATCTTGATCCAAGTTCAAAAGTTGTAATGTAACATTTTTTGGGATAATATGGACAGATTCCCTAAGCCTCAGCACTCCCTCTAAGGGACTTTTTAAAAGATTTTATATATAACATATACTTCTCCACAACATATCTGCTCCTCCAGGACAATTGCAGACACTTTTGTGGGCTCCTTGTCCACCTTTGTATTTCTACTGGTTTTTGCATTGTACTATTCACTAGGTAAATTCTTAGTAAATTTTTATTTAGTTGAACTGAATTATAATTTTCAGATAGATACAAAGCATGGTTTTGCGAAGTGGCTAGTATAGCTACAAATCTTGTTACTCCAAGAAGTGATGATAGTCTTAAATTCTCAGTAGATTCATGAAACCTCTAGATTAAATTCTGGTATACCTGTAATTGATTTTTAAGGAATTTGACATATCTGCATGAATAAATAACTTCTGGAGGTGTGAACTTGAATGACAATATGTCCTTTCATAGAACACCTCTAGGATATTCAACTGTGGATGATCCTTGGTTTGGCTTAATATGATATTATCCTTACTGATATTTTTACAAGTTGTACAAATATGTGTGGAAACATCATCTATCAATTTCTTTCAAAAGTTCTGTTAGGTTGTAGTCATTATAAAATATTATAATTATTCTTATTCTAGCTGCTATTATTTTTATTAACCTCGGTAGTTTGGTTTTTTGGTCAGATGAGGACTTGAAAAAGGTAATGTGCTAACACACTTTTAACTCATTGTTAGCAGTGGGAACTTGAGATTTTGTCTTTCCTTCCTACCTAGTATCACACTGTTCCTCAACTAAAGTCCTTGGCTATCCTCTCAAAGCCTTCTAACAATGCCCCACCTAGGCTGCTGACATAGAGGGATCTGAAGCAAGTCTCAAAGAACAGCTTGTGGATAGTTTCAGATTATGACATGTGATCATTGAAAACTCTTGTTACCTATCCCCACCTTTTTTTTTTTCATTCCTCTCACCTTCTTAACCTCCTCTCGAGATGAAAGCACCACAGCTACTAATAAAACAATTTGACTTTCAGTAACAGTTGGGAACCTCCATCTGGTGTAAACGTGTAGAGGGATGCCCTTGGTGCTAGTTAGCAGAAAATGTGGGAAGCAGGAAAAAACTCCTCTCATAAACAACGTGCCCTGTGATGAGCTTCTCATTCATTACAGGTTATGGTAGCTACAAGGCCCTCAAATTTAGGCATAATCTAAGAATAGATGATTTTGGCTCCTTGTGAACCACAACTGCTCTGTTGAGAAGCAGCTACTGGCGCAAATGTGCATTGTGCAAATAATTCTCCTACACTGAATTTAAAGAGATAACACAATCCCAGTTGGAGTCTTTGCAAAGAATAAAGATATAGCTCAGTGTCATGCCCATAGCAGGCACTCATCATTGAATGAATGCATGAAAGACCACCAAAGCATAGTTTGATTATGTCTAGGTGAACTGGTAAATGGTAGATAATATCAGGGATATGTTTTTCTTTTCACATCTAAAAGATGTTGGTGGAGGTTGTGGGTAGAGGTAAGCGGAGCGTAGTGATTCTTCAAGGGTGAAAGTGAGAATTCCCTTTGCTTACATGTATCACCTTTTTATTTTCCTACCCAACAACTATGTTACTTAAGACAGGGGAAGGTAAGTTTGGGATAGCTTCTGTAAACCTTCTATAATCTGGGAGAATCTAAAGACCATAGTTTAGGGTGTGGTGCTCTCCTAGTTGAAAAGATATTTTGTAAAACCTAATCATTAATTTTTAATTTTATGCTATTTCTATTATTCTTGTGTCTATAGGCTAGGCAGTGCGCCATGCTTTTCTGTGGAACAGATCTCACTTCTCCATAAACAGAATCCTTTGGCTATCTCTCTTTGGTTAGCTATTTGATGAAAAGATTACAGAATCAGGCTGTATCTGAGACCTATTTTGTAGCCTACATATATTTACATAAATTCCTTGAAAAGTAAATAAAAAGAACCAAATGAATAAAATGGTGAAGACATGTGAGATCCAAAGCAGCTACTTATTTGAAGGGTAGAAAAAGACAGTCTTGTGTCATTACAATTAAACTGAGTACTCTGGTTCATTTACTATTTTCGGTGAATTTTAATTGAGTTGTGTCTCATTTTTATAAATGTTGTCAATCTTCATTTTCTCTGTCTCCCATGCACCAGCTTAAACACACACGCATGCAGATCCACATATGGGCATGTTTTGGGAGAGTACTGACTACAGATATACCCTAACACCAACTTACACACAGTGACACATAGTGCTATAAACACTAAAACATCCAACCTTGATAGAACACCCATAAGAACAACAAAAAAAAAGCCTTCTTTTTAATGCATTTATTTTATGGACACAAAAGCTCAGCTAGTAATCAGTTTTGATAACTTTAGATGTCTGTTTCCCTGATGTAATGACTAGACTGAGGCAATAACAATACTTCATTATGCTATTCAAAGTGTATGGCAGGATTCAGTCAGAGCTAGACTCAAAACCTGGCCCACAGCTGAAAGCAGAGATGATGCATTAATCCACAGCAACACCCTCTCCCCCACTGCTCCCCTCAGCATTCAGCCACTAATAATGGATATCATTTTTCTTCATAAAACTGGTGGTACTTGAATCAAGCACATGACAGTTAAGGTTTGTTTAGTCTTTCAAGCAGGTGATTACAGGATTGAACTTCCCAAGTGAGAAGCCAGTGGAATACAAATAGTTAAGAACACGTTTAAAGGGGGAAAAATTGTCCAGCCCCATCTGTCAAACTGTGCGTATGACATCATCAGATATTCTGCACTTGTTTGCAGCTATTCAGGCTGGCCCGCCCCGCAGTCTATGCTTTGTGTTCCAGTTTCCTTTACAGGGCCAGCGGGCTGGAAAATTACCACATGCTGTCACAGTTAGCTCAGCCAGGTCTTGTTATCATTGTTTCCAAGGAATCCATTCATTCCGTTATTTTACATATTGGGCAGACGTCCTGCCACTGAGGCTTGGGCTGCAGTAACTTGAAGGGCCAAACGTTAATGGGCCTCTATTGTTGGTAGAATGGCAGTGCAATACGTGGGAAAAAATACCCAGACAGCTCCCTGACACTGGTTTAGGACCTCTAGACTTAGGGGGTAGCCTGTGAAGATCTTTTATGTAAACAAGCCTTCAATAAACAATGAATATCTCCTGTGTCAATATTCATAACCCATCAATAAAAAAATTATAAATCTTCAACTAGAAAGAAGCCCAAATGTATTATGGATGACAGAGCTTTTCCTTAAAATAATCTATAGAATGTGCACAAGTCTCCTTCTAAACACTGCTAATTTATAGGGGGGGAGGGCAACATTGTTGAGGCTTTGAGGAAAGAAAAGCATTTGATTTGGGGCTAGCTGTATTCTCATTGCAGTGGATAATATGGTGTATAAGTTTTGTGGCTTCCACCACTACAGACTGAAATAAAGACAAGGGCCTAGGTGACACATTACATCTTCACCATGCTGGCAATTTAAAGAAAGTTAATGAAAACATTAGAAAAGTTGCCTAGATAAAGCTTAACTTTAGGATGGGTTATGTTATCTTGATTAATTAGAGCATAAATAAGAATGAAATTTAAAAACTGTAGTGATATCGATACAGGAAAATCCATTCTTTATGGAAGATATAGAGTGAAACTGCAGTTTTTGTTTTTCTTTTAATGGAATACATTCTCTTTCTTGTTTCAACATAAATCTGATCTTTTCATTATACAGTGTATTGGAAAGGGATCACAAAGTGTTATGGATCTTCTAATTTTTATTACTGGCCCCAGAAACTCTTCCACCTGACTTTCTTCACCTTGGACAATAGGAGACTTGATAACTAGACCTGTTGCTCAAAGTGGAACAGCATATGGTAGTTAGTTAAATCCATTGGCACTTAGAAAAACTTTAATTCAAGTTCTTATCATTTTAAACATTCTCATGATTAGCTCAGCTGTTACTTCAGCTAATTTATTTTATTGATTCTGCACAGAGCTCCAAATGGCCCTGTGGAAGTTTACATTAGAATAGTTCTTATCCCAAATCATTTGAAGAGTTAGAACATGGGGATCGAGCCCTTGGAGTGGAGGATTGAAAGACAAGGAGATGGGAATAGTCTGTTTCTGAGAAACACAATCTGTACCATATTTAAGATAAAATATAATGTATTAAAAAGTTGCTCTATCCCAAAGTCAGTTTTGTCACTTTGCGTTTTTTAGAAAACATATTCTAATTTCAAATAGGATCATTTCTGTGTCTGGCAGCTAATTTTAAATGGTTCCCCTTTTCAGCTGACATTAAGAGCCAATTGAGATAAATTTATTTTTCCATAAAAGTAATATATGTCAGGACTAGATTTCCTAAGCCAAGCCCTTCAGGCAATCATAATCATTTTGTAAACTGTGGATAATGTCATCTTTGAGAAAAAAGATTTCTTCAGTGTATAAAATATTTCATTAAGATAAATATTAAAATGTGGCAGTCCATTCAAATATATTATTTTAGAGAATCTTACAGAATTTTGAAATCAGTATTTTTTTTAAGTAAGTAACATCCTTTACAATCTATTTTTTTTTTTAACATTTCTTTTAGCTCTCAACTTGATTCCTTTGCCAGGTTTCTGCAAGATAAAACAAGTTTTGATAAAGAAGTCTACTTTGACTTCAAAGTTATAATAGGTACATTACTTACGACACCCCAAAGTAACATCCTTATTCCCAGATTGAAAAAGAGCTTTTGGCTTAACCCAAAGTTATTTTATTAAGTAGATTATTGAATGATATATCATCACATTTAAGAAGTGTAACAGTTTTTTAGTAAACACTAAAGAACTGTTCCCTTAACTTAAGGCAACACCCTACATTTATCGCCACAAAGTATATGTCAAGCTGTATTGTTTAGCAATAAATTCAAGGCAAAATAAAGTTATGTTTACACATTCCTTAGAAACTTTAATTAATTAATAGTAACTTTCACATGATAGCAATTTATGTAAAGAAACATTATTAAGTGTCTCTCCTTATACAAAAATCTAAATGACTACAGCTATCTAGGCCTGCACTAAACAAAAAAGATCTCAACTCTGCTAATTAATATTCATAATTGTTTAGAATGGATTTAAAAAATTTCATGCAGTGTATTACTTACCTGAGAGAAATATTTTCCATTTACATAGGCAGTTCAGCAGTGATGTTCTCAAGCCCAATTTCTCTTTCTTTGTCACCACCTGGTTCCTATAAAGAAACTATTTCCAAGAAATCACATCAAAATAACTTAAACTGTTTTTTTTCCAGATAGGCCTTCATATCACATTAGAAACTTTTTATAATATTAACAATTTTCTTTCATTTTATATTAGAATCATATAATTTTAGAATTTGAGTTGCCTAACAAGATATGACTATGTAATCATTCCAGCAATTTTCATATCATATTAGTGAAAACAAATACTAATATAATAGGATGCTAACATGAAAACCTCTAATAGAACATGACAAAACTTTTCATTCTTTATTTACGCATTCTGGTTGTTGTTCTCCATTTCAACATTTTCCACTTCAGTTTATGGGAAAGTAGCATGGGTTTGCGTGTTTTTGAATATCAATTAAGTGATATTGTAATATAATAGTAATGCAAAAGTTAACTACTATCATTTTGCTATAGAAGGAATACATTTCTTTGGGTCATCAAATCTTTATTTGAATGATAATGCTTTCATTGGTTTTGTTACTTATTTCAATTTAGTTTAGAAACTGAAATATTTGCAAAAAAAGTAAGAAACTCTTTGTAGTTGAGTATGAAGGCTCAATGAGTTGAAGAAATAATGCAATTATCTTGGTAATTTACTGCCTCTCTCCTACTCCAAGTATCTAGATAATAGAGATAAAGGTGAGTTTTGCCTTGAGTTATGCAGGCAATTGCTTCCATTTTATACTCAGATTCTCTGTCATTACATACAGCACGTTCATCCGAAGACTCTCTCTTTCAACCCAGTTCATTTGAGCAGCCTTGCTAGCAATGTTCAGTGAGAAAACAAACTAGAAGGAAATAGTCATTTGTCTCATCCTGAAGTCTACCAATAGAAAGGAAGAGTGAAGACTTTGACAAAGGGTTCTTTTGGAGCCATCTCACTTCTATCAATAATTGCTCTGGGTTTAAATACATCCTCCTCTGAGGCAAGAAAAGATTTTGTCCTGGCAAAATGCTTTGATCTTTTCAAAATTACTTTGCACACTTAAGATACCAGAAGTACTCGGCAGGCGTACCAAAAGAAATAGGATTAATGCTACAGTGTTTGGCAGAAAAACACAACCCTTCCACCCCCATGTGTGTATATGATGATGTGTAAAATCAAACAGGAAAAACTCTGGCTACCTAAGCACTTGGAACTTTTCTTTTCTACTGTATACCACACTATCATGCAACAAAGACATAGCTCACACATTTTAGTAAACAGAAGTCACACAACGTCAAAATTACCTTTGAGAAATCTTATAAGAAGGCACCATATTGGAGGATGTACTTGTTTGTTCTGTCTTTAATAAATCTGCCATAACCTCTTTGTCTTCCCGACTGCTGTGAATTCAGTTGAAGATAAGGTGAAGACAGTAGCTTATGTTTAGTTGTCATACCTTAAAAACACTCAATCATTCAGTGGTGAGATGTTCACATGAGTGGCAGGTGGTAACTGAGATTTCATATTTTCTGGATCACGTTTGCCTCAGGATGTGTTATCAGTGAGAATAATAGCGGGCATAATTTAAAGTTCTTATATTTCTCTTTCATTTCTTCTCCTCCAACCCCTCTTCCTTTTCTTCTTTCTCTTTTTTTTTTTTTCTGGTCTGAATGAATATAGTTGACAATGAGAAGGTATGTCTATAACTGTCTCCACTATAATTTGTCGACTATTTTCTGTCTCCCCTACTAATGTAGTCTCCCTCAGCACCAGGAGCAGATTTATCTTGCTCACTGTTGTTTCTCAGCACCCAATTCAGTATCTGGCATGAATCAGGCATTAAGGAAATATGTGTGTAATAAATAAAACAATCAACTTTATGCTAGTCGACTCCTGCACACTTGACCTAAAAACAGAAACTAAAGATATTTCACACCACAGATGCAAGCAATGTAGGATACCCTAGGAACCATTGATAATGGAGGTCTGGTGAGTATAGCTCCAGTCCTGGCATTGAGAGAGGTTGGACTGAGCAACAAATTCACCAACTCCTTTACAGGGTGAGTTTTAAGACCTGGTATGAAACTGGGAATTATTGGAGTTGTGGTGAGAAATTTGCATGAACCTAGCTTGTGGCAAAGAGTATATAATCTCCTTCCACACAACCCTGTTGGGTTCCCACACTCCAAGGTGCTATTTTAATATACGCTCCTCTGTCCTGACAAATAACTACATGGCTGGAGTAAGGTAGGAAGGGAGTTACTGGACCTAGATCTCCAAGATGCCATTTGAGTTTGTGACAGATTTCTTCTTTTCAAACAGTTTTCATGGGAATATATTTGGATAAAGTACTCTATAGGGTGATAAGACATCAACACTAAGATGCTGCCTTTCTACCCTTTTGAGCTAGCTGACTCATCCCCAAATGTATCTCTGTATTACAGGACATGACCTTGCAAGGAGACATGACTTATGCATGTTTAGAATTAACAGTGAAATGTTACCAAATGGGGTTTTCTTTGTGATGGGCTTCCAGCTATAACCAAAGAGACAATGTAGAAATGGAAGGAAAATGAGAAGTCTTGGGCTCATCAATATGTAAATCTTTTAAACAGCACGTAAATGATTACATGTAATGCACTTGGTTTCCTAGAGAAAATAATTTTCTTTTCTTTCAGTGATGGCAATACATCTCAGGGAACCAACAACACCATAGCGGGCTAAAGGTTTCTGCTTTTCACATTTCAGGGAGAGCCATGGTAACCTGCCCCTGCCTTCTACCTCGTCTCTGTGTGTGGCATCCTGGAGCCATGTTTCCACCAACGTCTTGACTGTGGCAGATCTGAGAAACTCTACATTATACACAAATGTTCTCTGGCCCCAGAGATTATCGCAGTACATTGGGTGAGGGTAAGGGGTGATGATTCAGGAAGCCAGAAGGCTTGTGGCAGAATGTCTTCATTTTGCTGGAACATCATGAAAAACTACCTGATCAGAGTGTCCATATGTAAAGAGTTGTAGCAAGTATACATGTGTGAGGAGGAAGTAATTCTCTTTCAAAAAATCAAGGAAAGGGAGGCAGGAAAATGAAGTAATTAGGAGTGTAAATAGAGATTAAGCTACATTTATACTTTAGTGTTCTCATTTCATACTTGTGTGACTTTGGGCAAGGTACTTACCCCTCTCATTCTTGGTTATCTCATATGTAAAATGGTGATAATATTGTCATTTAGGATTTCAGAGAAAATGAAACAAGACAGTGTATCTAAAGTGCTTAGATGGTTCCTGACTCCAAAAAGTTTTGGTTTTTATTAAGATACTGCAAGCCTGCCTTTGACCACTGATTACTTCTGCCTGAGTTGGAGAGAAGTCATGTTTGTATAATATGTGATACTGCATATATGAACACAGAATTTCTTATTAGTCCCAGGAAATATATTTTGGTAGTTAGATATTTAAAAAAAAATTAGAATTATTTCTGGGCTATCCTTTAAGATAATATTTCAAAAGTTACGTACATTTCATACTTTATTTTCTATTGTCATTTCAATTATTGTTCAATTGTCTCTCAAACAAGATTTTTAAAAATATACTACCAGTTCATTAATTGAAATATTTTCTTGAATAGAGTGTAAATGAATAAATATAATTATTCAAAATGAAATAGCAGATTATTGTATCTTTACTGATAATATTCCATTTGATAATTTGAAGAAAATTAGAAGAATGTATGTAACCTGCATTTGGTACCCTCAAAAATGCATTTTAGACGTTCATTCGTTCATTAAACTATGTGCCCATAATATTATTCAATCTTTCTTTTTTACATATTAAACACATTTCTATCAGTCATTTTTATTTTAGAAAAACCATTTTCCCTTCCAATTGTCAGTGTATCTTTTCTCAAAGATGTTAATATAATTGATGCAGTCTTTCTAGTCGGATAATTTAGGGTTAAAGAAATCGAACAAATTACTTTATATTCTTGAAGTAGTTCTCATATATTTTCTTATTACCAAACTCCTGGGAATTAAGTGACCTTTAAAAAGGAACACAGTTTGTACCTGGAGGAGCAGGAGCCAGAAATGGGGCCCAGGTCTCTGCCTTTTTCTCCATAGTTTGTATCATTCACCACCCCCGTTTGGGCAACAATTCCTGTGGGATCTCCACACAGGACAAACACACCACTGGCCATTTCAGGATTTTTTTTGGAGCCACCCACCTTCCATAGGGTTCCTTAGATAGAGGATGGCCTGAGTTGTGTCATCTCTTTGGGTTATAGCAAAGTTGTTAAGTTTCTACTTTAATATTTCTATCCTGATATAATAAAATAGTTAGATTCTATAATGCTCAGAATGTATTCTAAAATTTTTATATTCTCATTACAATGTACTGTGCAAAATGACTGAAAGCATCATAAAAGTTGTTGATCTTATTCATTGGGAAAATCATAAGGAATTCACACATTTTTTGATATTCTTTTCTAGGATGCAAACTAATTACCCTTTATTTTGATGTTGATTAATCTGTTCAGTTAGGTTTTATTTTGGTTTCATATTCATAGTTCATTAAGGGTAGGCTTGCAGCGATACGTTCACCTGATAATTTTAGAGTCTTTATGACCTGCTGCTTTAATTCTGTGATTAGAGATTTTTGAAATACTTTTAATCTGAAGTGAACTGGAAAGTCATATGCATGCTGATTCTTTTTTTCAGAAGACAGTCAACTTGTGGAACATACATCATACATTTTATTAGAGCTTCACTATTTGAAGATATGGGGGTCTGACTCTGGAGCCATGTCAGGATATTGTTGCAAGCTGTCCATTTGGGATTAACTATTTGGGATTGGTTTGACATTGTACTAACTCTTCTGGTTACAGCAAGGGTTTATATACGATTATGTGTATCAGAATAGACAAAGCATTTGTTAAAAATGCATGTCCCTGTGCCCACCATTAGAAATTGCTAATGGTAGCCAGGCACAGTGGCTCATGCCTATAATCCCAGCTACTCTGAAGGCTGATGGGAGAATTGCTTGAGCCCATGAGTTTCAGACCAGCCTGAGCAACATAGTGAGACTCCATCTGTTCCAAAAAATAAATAAATAAAAGGGCCAGCATTGTGGCATGTGCCTGCAGTCCTAGCTACTCAGAGGCTGTTGCAGGAGGATCACTTGAGCCCAAGAGTTCAAGGCTGCAGTGAGCTATGATCATGCCACTGCACTTCAGTCTGGGTGACAGAGTGAGAAGAAAAAAAGAAAAAGAGAAAAAAGGAAGGAAGGAAGGAAGGAGGGAGAGAGGGAGGGAGGGAAGGAAGGAAGGAAGGAAGAAAGAAAGAAAAAAGGAAAGAAAGAGAAAAAGAAAGAAGGAAGAAAAGGAAGGGAGGGAGGGAAGGAAGGAAGGAAGAAAGAAAGGAAAGAAAGAGAAAAAGAAAGAAGGAAGAAAAGGAAGGGAGGGAGGGAGGGAGAAAGGAAGGAAGGAAGTAGGTAGGGAGGGAAGGAAGGAAGGAAGAAAGAAAAAGAAAAGAAAAGGAAGAGGGGGAAAGGAAGGAAGGAAGGAGGGAGAGAAGAAAGAAAGAAAGAAGGGAAGGAAGGAAGGAAGAAAAGAAAGAAAGAAAAAGAGAAAGAAAGGAAAGAAAGAGAAAAAGAAAGAAGGAAGAAAAGGAAGGGAGAGGGGGAGGAGGGAAGGAAGGAAGGAAGGGAGGGAAGAAAGAAAGAGGGAATTGCTAATGGTGGATTTGAATTGGGTCCTGGAAATATGTATGTTAAGCATATCCCCTGTGTGATTTTAATAAATGCAAATTTCTAAACAACTACTTTAGAGAACTCCAATCACCTGGCCACTGTCCATGTAGTTGGGCCACAGATTGGATGCAACTGAAGATAAATTTCAGATAAATTTACCACTCTTTGGATACAAAATAATAGACTTCTCTCCTCTGGAGGGATTCCTATGCTTCCTTTGGGAGGAGGGGGCAGCATTGAGGAAGAGACGGGCAATGCCTAGTGAAGTGGAATGAAAACCCTTCAAGTTTTGAAGTTCAATTCAACTTCTGACTCTGCTATTTGCCTGCCAGTTGAACTTGGACCAGTTATTTGACCTCTCTAGCTGAATGTAAAGCTCACCTTAAGAATGATGATAGTGTCATTGTAGGGCAAGTTTAATGAACATGTATGATTATGTCAGACAGGTAGTGGGCACTCATTCTTAGTTTTTGCTTTTTCTTGGAAATGTAATATTCTTCTGTCCAAGAGAGTCAAAGGCACTGAAATAGCTGCTGGTTTCATTATTTTCAAATGCATGTCAATCGTTGTCATAATTTAGGATCCACTTCCTTTTAGCTTCCTTATAGAAAGTTAGCTTTTCTATAGGCAAACATTTCAATGTAGTCTCATGATATCAAGCTTATTGCCACACTATTCCACATGGCAATAAGATTGACACTATGGAAACCCAATGCCCAGGCTGTGATCTTTTTGCAGGGTAATCTGTAGCCTGCTTACCTTTCTGGGTTATTTATAATGATATGTGCTTTAAAAAATGAAATTTACCAAAAATCTGTAAGAAATATTTACTTATTTGACTACTCTCTTCTCTCTTTTGTTGGCAAATAATCAATTCCATGACATTATACTAAATTACACTTTTTCTCTCTTTTGCCTCTAAAACTCTAATTTGGATTTCAATAGAGATATTGGAGGTTTGGGCAATAATCTTCAAACCCAAATGCCACACAAATACATTGTCAGGGTTTTTATGAGACTGAGTTATCTGAAGTGACTTTCTATGTTGTCTAACTTCACTATAATTGCTCAATTCTGGTGCTTTTGGAAAAATCGTCTCTGGTCAAATTATACACAGTTATTGACTGTGTATAATTTACAACAGAACAAAATTGGCCAGTACATTTTTCAAAGGCCTCTTTTAATGATTCAGGTAAAACAGACTCAATACATGTGGCTGCAGATTGTTTAATAAAACAAAAGAAGTGGCTTCTACTTATATGTGTTTATTCTGTTGTATTTAATGTTTCATATTGACAACATGGTTTCTGTCTAAATAATAAATTAAGTAGAAAAAAGCATACTCATTCTCACACTGAGACAAATATTACAAACACTTGTCTATATGCTGGAGTATAGTGGGGTGGGTAAGGGATACTGAGAATGACAACCGTGAATTTATATTTTTCCTTGAATCATTCTGGAGTACCGATTTTCCTCTAGATTAGGGAGGCAGTTTTGTTGGTTTTGTTTCATTATTTTTATTTTAAATTAAACATCTAATGTGGAGTAGGATCCAAAATTCTTATGAGATTTTATTAAAAAGTGTTGAGATATTAAGAAAATGTTAACTCGATGGTAGACCTCTTTGGGCTAAGTTCAAAGGCCACTAGGAGTTTAATTTACTTTTCCTAGTGAGAGAATATGAGACCAAGTATTTTGATGAAGGAATCAGGAAGCCTTGGGAAGCCCATTATCTTTGTCCCAAATCTTCTCTTACCCACTGGGCAGTGATAGTTTATTTGCATAAGACTTTGATTCCTCCTAAAATGCAAATACCTTTGGGAAAGGTAATAATTCAAGCTATCAGCTATCACTTTTTGTGACTAAGGGATATGAGAGCAGTTTCTGATATGGGGAGAGCAGGAGAAACTGGCCAACCTCTCTTCACAATTCTTACCAATGTAATAACCCTAAGAACAATATTTTCATCATTATATCATCATATATTATATCAACATAAATAATCACCTTAGAGTGATTTCTTTATCCTCATGCTGTGGGTATGTGATTTACTTTTTGGTGTTCTTAACTTTATTAGGACAATGATCCATTTAAAAATTCTGTTAATCATATTATGCTACAGTAAAAGATTCTCCAAATTTCATTACTCAAGTCTTGTTAAATTTACAATCACCTAAATCTGAAACCTCCCAATACTTAGTCTAGAAAATATGCACTTTTTCTTTTCCTGTCTTTTTTTAAATCGGTTTGTACTTTATAGTTTAATTACAAAGTCGTTATATTATGGTTGCTTATTTTTCTCCAATAGATCCTACTACTACCTGACACATTTAATATCAGGAAGTTAAAATTATTTTGTCTTCAATTTTCTTCTTTTTAGTTTCACATACTTATTAGTTAAATTAACTCTAAAATGAAACCTATTCCTATCTGTATATGTAATTCAGATAGTTGAAATCATATATTTTCTGGCCTACTGTAGTCTTTTTAATTCAATTTATTTCATCTATTTTCATTCCTCTAGTCCTTGTTAATCTATAGATGCTAAAAATACTGCCCGTGGCTGGGGTGAATATGGCGTCGTTCTTGGGGAGAGAAATCACCAGTGGTCTTTTCACAGGGAAAGCATTATATCACTCTGTTTCATATTTTCCAACTTTAACATTGAGATAGCAATGACTTGTTTTTGAACCTAACTTCATGAACATATATGTAAAGTTTATAGGATTGCAAAGTTGCAAGATATATTACTGCTTGATCATCTATCTGCAAAGTTCATTTAACTTTCTGATTCTGAAAAATGAAATAATAACTATCTTGGTAGTTGGCTTAAAATAAATGGAAGCTTCTACTTATGTATTATTGTATGTGTGGGTTTTATTTATTTTTTATTATTTGTTAGCATTTTCTCATGAGATATTGAAGGTTCTGTCTCATTTTCCCAAAGTGTAATCTTACATTATCTAATTTGAAAATAATTTTCTTAGCTTCTTTTTAATTTAGCCTCCATTTTGTTCCTTTCCTGTTCCTGGTGTCTCATAATGTCTCACTGAAGTATTAAAGTATAATTTGACATCATCAATAGTGTCATTAAGATGCAACTTTCCTATATCCTACTTTAGACCCTTTATAATATCAAATGTATAAGACTTAAACACTGATTCCCTGCATTACTACACTTTACAATTTGCTCTGTCCTCTTTGTGGCTTTTCAGCAAATTTCCATACCCTGCACAAATGCTCATTTTATTAATTATAATCATTTTCTTTGGTACACTAAAACACACTTGACTAAAACCCAGCTATTTTAGTGGGCTGTTATTTGTAGTTTCCACTAAAAATATCTCTTTTTTATAAACAGAAACAGAAACTTCTTCATATTCATGTTTCTACATGTATTTTGAATTTTTATTGTCTTTTCTCCTGGTAGTAAAAGTACTATCAATGAAGGTATTGGAATAAGCTTTTAAAAGTTTTTTTTCAAACATATTCATCTTTATTTTTTAAATTCTATCCCTGCAGAAGTTAACACGGTAGATAAGACTGATGTTATATCCCCATTTTACAGATTTATTTATTCTACATTTATTTATGGAATTCCACCTATGTGATATGGATCAAGACAGACATTAAGTGATTTGGTTAGGATAATGATAGCTGCTACAATAAGCAAACACCAAATTTTGAGTAACTTAGCAAAATAGTTTACTTATTTCTTATGTAACATTATAATGCAGATATTCCTTGGTGGTGGCAAGCCAGGGAGAATGGGAGAGAGGGGAAGTTGAGTTCCAAACATCATTCAAGAACCCAGGCAGTGAGAGTCTCTGAATTCTTCAACATGTGCCTTCAGGGAATATCTGAGCTTTGACATGATGAAAAAGAGAATTTAGAAGAAGGCAAATCTATTTCTTTACCATTTCAGCTAGAAAGTGACACACGTCATGTATACCCACATTGGTGAGATAGGCACTTACATAAAAGGGTGCTGGGAAATGGAGCCTGCGGCTGGGCACCCCTTTCTCAGCAACAACCCTACCCTATAGGAGAGCTGAAGCCTAGGTGAGCAGTCAGCCACTTCTGCTTTAGGTAAATATATCCAGGTAAAGCAAAATCAAGGACTAACTAGAATAGAGGGTTCTTATTTCACAGCCCAGTCTCCTGGATGAGAATCCTTCCTCTTTTTGTTTTCAGAGATTTTGCAATTTCTTTTTTTTTTTTTTTTTTTTTTTTTTTTTGTTAACAAACTTCCTTTTATGCATGAATAAGTTTTTCTGTTTTTTTCAACTTTTATTTCAGGTTCAGGGGGCACATGTGCAGGGTTGTTACATGGGTATATTTTATGTCATTTAGGTATGGTGTACAAATGATCCCGTCACCCAGGCAGTGAGCATAGTATCTGATAGGTCGTTTTTCAACCCATGATCCTGCCCTCCCACCTCAAGAAGTTGCAAGTGTCTATTGTTCCTATCTTTGTGTTCATGTGTACTCAATGCTTAGTTCCTTCTGGCAAGTGAGAGCATGCAGTATTCAGGTTTGTGTTCCTGTGCTAATTTGCTTATGATAATGGCCTCCACCTCTAACAATGTTGCTGCAAAGGACATGATCTCATTCTTTTTTATGGCTGCACAGTATTCCATGGTGTATTTTTACCACAGTTTTTTTTATCCATTCCACTATTGATGGGTACCTATATTGGTTCCTTGTCTTTGCTATTGTGAATAGTGCTGCAATGAACATATGAGTGTGTGTGTCTTCCTGGTGGAATGATTTATTTTTCTTGGGGTATATACTCAATAGTGGGATAGCTGAGTTAAATAGTAGTTCTTTTTTAAGTTCTTAGAGAAATCACCAAACTGGTTTCCACAAAGGCTGTATTAATTTGCATTCCCACCAGCAGTGTATAAGCATTCCCTTTTCTCTGCAACCTTGTCAACATCTGTTATTTTCTGAGTTTTTAATATTCGCCATTCTGACTGGTGTGAGATAGTGTCTCACTGTGGTTTTGATTTACATCTCTCTAGTCATCAATGAGTTTCAACATTTTTCCATGTATTTGTTGGCTGCATGTATGTCTTCTTTTAAGAAGTCTGTTCATGTCTTTTACCCATTTTTTAAAAATGAGAATGTATGTTTTTTTGCTTGTTGATTTATTTATGTTCTTTATAGATTCTGGATATTAGACCTTTGTCAGATGGATAGTTTGCAAATATTTTATCCCGTTCTCTAAGTTGTCTGCTGACTCTGTTGATAGTTTCTTTTGCTGTGCAGAAGCTTTTTCATTTAATTAGGCCCCACTTGTCGATTTTAATTTTTGTTACAGTTGCTTTTGGGGACCTAGTCACAAATTCTTTGCGAAGGCCAATGTCCAGAAAGGTATTTTCTAGGTTTTCTTCTATTGTTTTTATAATTTTGGGTCTTATATTTTAGAGTTTAATTCATCTTGAGTTGATTTTCATATATGGTGACAGGAAGGGGTTCAGTTTCAATCTTCCACATATGACTAGCCAGTTATCACAGCACTATTCATTAAGTATGGAGTCTTTTCCACAATGCCTGTTATTGTCAACTTCATGGAAGATCAGATGGTTGTAAATGTTAGGCCTTATTTCTGGATTCTCTATCTGTTCCATTGGTCTGCATGCCCGTTTTTGTAGCAGTACCATGCTGTTTTGTTTGCTGTAGCCTTTTAGTATAGTTTGGGGTTGGGAAGTGTCATGCCTCTGGTTTGCTCTTTTTGCTTAAGATTACTTTGCCTAGTCAGGCTGTTTTTGGGTTTAATATAAACATTAGGATTGTTTTTTTCTAATTCTATATAAAATGACATTGGACATTTGAAAGGAATAGCATTGAATTTGTAAATTGTTTTTCCACTTGTGTCGTCTCTGATTTCTTTTAGCAGTGTCTTGTAATTCTCATTGTAGAGATCTTTCACCTCTTTGATTAGCTGTATTCCTAGGTACTTTATTTTTTTGTGAATATTGTAAATGGGATCATGTTCTTTATTTGACTCTCAGTTTGACATTATTGGTGTATAGAAAGGCTACTGATTTTTGCACATTAATTTCATATCCTGAAAGTTTACTGAGGTTGTTTATCAGTTTTAGGAGCCTTTTTGAGTCTATGGGGTTTTGTAGGAATAGAATGATATCATATGTGAAGAGAGATAGTTTGCCTTCCTCTCTTGCTTCTTGGATACATTTTATTTCTTTCTCTTTCCTGGTTGTTCTGACTAGGACTTCAATTACTATGTTGAATAAAAGTGGTGAGAGTGGGGTTACTTTTCTTGTTCCAGCTATCAAGAGGAATGTATTTAGCTTTTGCCCATTCAGTATGATGTTGGCTGTGAGTTTGTAATAAATGGCTCGTATTATTTTGAGGTATGTTCCTTTGATGCCAGCTTATTGAAGATTTCTAACATAAAGGAATGTTGAATTTTATCAAAAGCTTTGTGTCTATTGAGATAATCATTTGGTTTTTGCTTTTAATTCTGTTTATGTGGTGAGTGACCGTATTAGTTTGTTCTCATACTGCTACAAAGAAATACCCGAGGCTGGGTAATTTAACAAGAAAAGAGGTTGAATTGGCTCATGGTTCTGCAGGCTGTATAGGAAGCACAGATGGGAAGGCCTCAGGAAACTTACAAATATGGCACAAGGCAAAGGGGGAGAAGGCATGTGTTCTCATGGCTGGAGCGGAAGGAAGAGAGAGAAGGGGAAGAGGTTCTACACACTTATAAGCAATCAGATCTCATGAAAACTCTATCATGAGACAGAACTAGGGGGATGGTGATAAACCATTAGAAACTGCTCCGATGATCCAATCACCTTCCTCCAGACCCTACCTCCAACAGTGGGGATTACTATTAGACATGAGGTTTGGGTGGGAGCACAGATCTAAATCGTATCAGCTACATTTATTGATTTTTATATGTTGAACCAATCTTACATTCCAGGAATAAAGCCTACTTAATCATCATGAATAAACTTTTTGATGTGCTGTTAGAATTGGTTTTCTAGTATTTTTTAAGGATATTTTTATCTACGTTCATCAGGCATATTGGCCTGAAGTTTTCTTTTTTTCATTTTGTCTCTGTCGGGTTTTGTTATCAGAATGATGCTGGCTTCACAGAATGAGTTGCCGGGAGTCCCTCCTTCGTGATATTTTGGAATAATTTTGGTAAGAGTGATACTAGTTTATCTTTGTATGTCTGGTAGAATTAGGCTGTGAATCCATCTGTTACAGGGCTTTTTTCATTGGTAGTTTTTTTTACTGATTCAATTTCAGAACTCATTATTGGTCTGTTTAGGATTTCAACCTCTTCCTAGTTGAATCTTGGGAGATTGTATGTTTCCAGGAATTATCCATTTCTTCTAGGTTTTCTAGTTAGTGTGCATACAGGTGTTCATAATAGTCTCTGAGGGTTTTTTATATTTCTGTGGCATTGGTGGTAATGTCACTTTTGTCATATCTGATTGTGCTTATTTGGATCTTCTCTCTTTTTTCCTTTATTAGTCTAGTTAGAAGCCTATCAATCTTGTTTATTCTTTCAAAGACCTAATTTTTGTTTTGTTGATCATTTCTATGGATTTTCACATCTCAATTTCATTCAGTTCAGCTTGATTTAGGTTATTTCTTTTCTTGTGCTAGCTTTGGGGTTGGTTTGCTCTTGTTTTTCTAGTGCCGCTAGGTGCAATGTTAAGTTGTTAGTTTGAGATCTTTCTAACTTCTTGATGTAAGTGTTAAGTGCTATAAACTGTCCTCTTAATACTGCTTTAACTATATGTCCTAGAAATTCTGGTAAGCTGTGTCTTTGTTTTCATTAGTTTCAAGGAATTTTTTTATTTCAACCTTAATTTCATGTTTTACCGAAAAGTCATTCAGGAGCATGTTGTTTCATTTACATGTAATCTTATGGTTTTGAGAAATTTTCTTGGTATTGATTTCTATTTTTATTACACTGTGGTCTGAGAGTGTAGTTGGTATGATTTCTACTTTTTGAATTTGTTGAGACTTACTTTATGACTAAGCATGTGGTCAATGTCAGAGTATATGCCATGTGCAGATGTGAAGAAGGTGTATTCTGTAGTTTTAGGGTGCAGTATTCTGTGGATGTCTATTAGATCCATTAGGTCAAGCGTCAAATTTAAGTCCTGAATGTTTTTGTTAGTTTTCTGCCTCATTGATCTGCTGTCTCACACTGTCAGTTGGGGTGCTGAAGTCTCCTACTGTTACTGTTTGGTTATGTAAGTCTCTTTGTAGGTCTCTAAGAACTTGTTTTATGAACCTGGGTGCTCCAATGTTGTTTGCATGTATATTTATGATAGTTAAGTCTTCCTGTTGAATTGAACAATTTATCTTTATTTGTCCTTTTTGATCATTGTTGGCTTAAAGTCTTTTTTGTCTAAGATTAGCAAGCCCTGCTCTTTTTTTCTTTTCCATTTGCCTGATAGATCTTTCTCCATCCCTTTACTTTTAGCGAATGGATGTCATTGCATGTGAGATGGATCTTTTGAAGGTGGAAGACAGTTAGTTAGGTCTTGTCTCATTATCCCACTTGCCACTCTGTGCCTTTTAAGTAGGGCATTTAGGCCATTTACATTCAAGATCAATATTAATATGTGAGAATTCGGTATTTTTTTTCAAGGCAGAGTCTCACTCTCTTGCCCAGGCTAGAGTGCAGTGAAATGATCTCTGTTCACTGCAACTTCCACCTCACAGGTTCAAGTGATTCTCACGCCACAGCCTCCCAAGTAACTAGGATTACAGGCATGCACCACCATGTCCAGCTAATTTTTTCTATTTTTAGTAGAGACAGGGTTTCACTGTGTTGGCCAGGCTGGTCTCAAATTCCTGGCCTCAAGTGATTTGTCTGCCTTGGCCTCACAAAGTGCTAGGATAACAGGTGTGAGCCACCACACCTGGCTGTGAGAATTTGATTCTGTCATTGTGTTGTTAGCTTATTTTTATGTAGACTTGATTGTATGGTTGCTTTATAGTGTCAGTAAGCTATGTACTAAGTGTGTTTTTATGGTGGCAGGTATCAGTCTTTCTTTTTCATGTTTAACATTCCGTTAAAGACTTCTTGTAAGGCATGTCTAGTGCTGATGCATTCCCTTAGCATTTGCTTGTATGGAAAGGATATCATTTCTCTTTCACTTATGAAGCTTAGTTTGGCAAGATATTAAATTCTTGGTTAAAATTTATTTTTTTTAGGAATGCTGAAAATAGGCCCTCAATCTCTTCTGGCTTGTAAGGTTTCTACTGAAAAGTCTGCTGTTAGCCTGATGGCATTCCTTTTGTAAGTGACCTACCCCTTCTCATTAGCTGCCTTTAAGAATTTTTCTTTTGCATTAACCTTGAAGAATCTGATGACTATTTGTCTTGGGGATGGTTGTATTGTATATTATTTCACAGGGGTTTCCTGAATTTCTTGAGTTTTCATGTCAACCTCTCTAGAAAGATTTCGACAAGTTTCATGGACTATATCCTTAAATATGCTTTGCAAGTTGCTTACTCTTTGTCATTCTCTCTCAGAAATGCCAATGGGTGGTTGGTCTGGTCTCTTTAGATAATCCCATATATCCTGGAGGTTTTTAGAATTCTTTTTTTTTTTTAATTTTTGTCTGCCTGTGTAGATTTGAAGGAGCAGTCTCTGAGATCTGAGATTCTTTCCTTGGCGTGGTGTATTCTGTTTTTAATGCTTCCAACTCTATTAGGAAATTCCTGTAGTGATTTTTTCAATTCCAGAATTTGTTTGGTTCCTTCTAAAATGCTTATGTCATCTTTCAACTCTTGGATTGTTTTACTCTTCCTTGGATTGGGTTTCAACCTTTTCCTGTATCTCCTTGAGTTCCTTGTCATCCAGATTCTGAACTATATGTCTGTCATTGCAACTATTTCAATATGGTTACAAATCCTTGCTGGGGATCTAGTGCAATTGTTTGCAGGGAAGAAGACACTCTAGCTTTTAGAATTGCCAGATTTCTTGCACTGTTTTTTCTCATCTTTGTGGGCTCATTTCCTTTAATCTTTGAAATTTCTGCCCTTTGGGTAGGGCTTCTTGTTTTCATGTTCTTTAATGCCCTCAAGGGTTTGACAGTAGTATAAGTTGGATTTCCTTGATTGGCTTCACTTCTGTATGCTTTCAGAGGGCCAAGGCTCAGCTCCTGGACTGTGTACTCTAACCATCAGGGCCTAGAACCAGGCCTGTAGCTTTTTCTTCTGGCCCCTTGTGGTCAAGCACTGTATATGGTGAAGGTACCAAGGTTCTTCCAGTCCACTGGCAACAGTACTCCATTGCAGGCCACTGGCAAAAGTGCTCTGATAGTGTGGCAGGGGGTCCTTGGGTGAAAGCACTCTGACAATTTGGGGGAAGCTGCAGGTGAAAGCACCCCAGAGGGTTGGCAGGGGATCTGTGGGCAAAAGTGCTCCGGCAGGGTTTTGGGGGCGGGTCACAAATTAAAGTGCTTTGGTGAGAGGTCATCGGCTAAAGTGCTCCAGCATGATGTCTGGGGCTGCTGGTGAAAGTGCTATTGTGGTGGCCACTGGCAAAAGTACTCTGGCAGAACATTCAAGGCTGTGCTGAACCCTGTGCAGGAACCCTGGGAGGCGCCAGCAGACAGGAGGCCACTCATCTCAGACTCACCCCAGTTCCATGGGAAAAACAGCCCTGCTCTCTCTAGGTCTGGTAGTTAACAAAGGTAAAAGCCACTTAGAGGAATATGGAGAACTTTGGGGGATGGTCACACATGGCTGTGTTCCACTGAAGCTATCCCCATGCCAAACTCTCTGGGCTCTGAACAGACTTTAGTTCTGTCTTTGCTGACTCTCTGGGCAGTTCCCCTTCCTAATTCAAATGTCCATGGGGATTGTGGGGCTTCCTTCAGTTAGGATCCCAGAGGTCCATAGTGAGAGTGGGCCACTCAAGTTATTTCACTCACTCCTTCCTTAGGAGCCAGGCAGGGCCAGGAATGAGTTCTGGCCCTTGGCAACCCTGTGTAGGGTTTCTAGCTTCCTCCCCTTTAGCCCCATTGTCTGCATCTTCTCTCTATTCACTCTGAATGTCTTCTCTCAGAAGGTCTGTTTAGAATATCCTGGCCTACTCAATATTTTAGTATCTCTCAATGAGAGAAGCTCTTCCTGGGTACATCTAGTTGGCCATCTTGGATTTAATTCCAATTTCTGATACCATGACAGAACATCTTTTGAAAAATGCTTCTGGTTTTTGGGTTCACCCCATGATTCCTTGCAATGTAGTGGTTTTATGTCAATGGACATGCCCTGTGTAGTTCTGTGAAGATGTCTTTTGGCTCTACTCTCTGAAAATTCAGTAGCTCCATGGTTTGGAAATCAGAAGATATTTTAAACTTACAACCCATTATTGGCATCTTGGTACAAATTGATTCCTGTGTGGGAGTGATTCCGTTATGTCCATACACATGTTCACATTATGGGCTAGTTTTAATGGCGTTCTTTAAAATGATGCAAAATCTGGTCACTACAAAGATTCTTTTCCTATGTCTCTCAAATCATCCATCATCCTCAAAGCCTTAAAATCCCTTTGCTCTGATGGGGGATTGCTTCCAAGATGGCCAAATAGAAACAGCTCTGGTCTGCAGCTCACAGCGAGATCGAAACAGAAGTTGGGTGATTTCTGCATTTCCAACTGAGGTACCTGGTTCATCTCACTAGGAGTGGTTGGCAGTGGATGCAGCCCATGGAGGGTAAGCTGAATCAGGGCAGGGCATCACCTCACCCAGGAAGTGCAAGGGGTCAGGGGATTTCCCTTTCCTAGCCAAGGGAAGCAGTGACAGACTGTACCTGGATAAAAGGTACACTCCTAACCAAATACTGCGCTTTTCCCATGGTCTTAGCAACAGGCAGACCAGGAGATACCCTCCCGTGTCTGGCTCAGCAGGTCCCATGCCCACGGAGCCTTGTTCACTGCTAGTGCAGCCGTCTGAGATCTACCTGCGACACTGAGGCTTGATGGGGGGAGGGGGCATCCAACATTGCTGAGGGTTGAGTAGCTCACAGTGTAAACAAAGTGACTGGGAATCTTGAACAGGGTGGAGCCCACGGCAGCTCAGCAAAGACTACTGCCTCTCTATATTCCACCTCTGGGGGCAGGGCATAGCAGGACAAAAGGCAGCAGACAGCTTCTGGAGACTTAAACGTCCCTGTCTGACAGCTCTGAAGAGAGCAGTGGTTCTGTCAGCATAGCATTCGAGCTCCAAGAACAGACAGACTGCCTTCTCAAGTGGATCCCTGACCCCCCTGTAGCCTGACGGGGGGACACCTCCCAGTAGGGGCCAATAGACACCTCAAATGTGCGGGTGTCCCTCTGGGATGAAGCTTCCAGAGGAAGGATCAGGCAGCAATATTTGCTGTTCTGCAGCCTCCACTGGTGATATCCAGGCAAACAGTGTCTGGAGTGGACCTCCAGCAAACTCCAATGGACCTGCAGCTGAGGGGCCTGACTGTTAGAAGGAAAACTAACAAAGACAAGGGAATAGCATCAACATCAACAAAAGGACATCCACACCAAAACCCCATCTGTAGGTTACCAACATTGAAGACCAAATGTAGATAAAACCACAAAGATGGGGAGAAACCAGAGCAGAAAAGGTGAAAATTCCAAAAACCAGAGCACCTCTTCTCCTCCAAAGGATCACAGCTCCTCGCAAGCAAGGGAACAAAACTGGATGGAGAATGAGTTTGACGAATTGACAGAAGTAGGCTTCAGAAAGTGGGTATAGCAAACTTCTTTGAGCTAAAGGAGCATGTTCTAACCATCATAAGGAAGCTAAAAATCTTGACAAAAGGTTAGATGAATGGCTAACTAGAATGAACAGTGTAGAGAAGACCTTAAATGACCTGACGGAGCTGAAAACCACAGCACGAGAATTTTGTGACGCATGCACAAGCTTCAATAGCCAATTCGATCAAGTGGAAGAAAGGATATCAGTGAATGAAGATCAAATTAATGAAATAAAGCGAGAAGACAAGATTAGAGAAAAAAAGTGAAAAGAAATGAACAAAGCCTCCAAGAAATATGGGACTATGTGAAAAGACCAAATATACATCTGATTGGTGTACTGGAAAGTGATGGGGAGAATGGAATGCAGTTAGAAAACACTGTTCAAGATATTTTCTGGAGAACTTCCCTAACCTAGCAAGGCAGGCCAACATTCAAATTCAGGAAATACAGAGAACACCACAAAGATACTCCTCGAGAAGAGCAACTCCAAGACACATAATTGTCAGATTCACCAAGGTTCAAATGAATGAAAAAATGTTCAGGGCAGCCAGAGAGAAAGGTTGGGTTACCCACAAAAGGAATCCCATCAGACTAACAGCAGATCTCTCTACAGAAACCCTACAAGCCAGAAGAGAGTGGGGACCAATATTCAACATTCTTAAAGAATTTTCAATCCAGAATCTCATATCCAGCCAAACTAAGGTTCATAAGTGAAGGAGAAATAAAATCCTTTACAGACAAGCAAATGCTGAGAGATTTTGTCACCACCAGGCCTGCCTTACAAGAGCTCCTGAAGGAAGCACTACACATGGAGAGGAGCAACTGGTACCAGCCATTGCAAAAACATGCCAAATTGTAAAGACCATCGACGCTATGAAGAAACTGCATCAATTAATCAGCAAAATAACCAGCAAACATCATAATGACAGGATCAAATTCACACATAACAGTATTAACCTTAAATATAAATAGGCTAAATGCCCCAATTAAAAGACACAGACTGGCAAATTGGATAAAGAGTCAAGACCCATCAGTGTGTTGTATTCAGGAAACCCATCTCACGTGCAGAGACACACATAGGCTCAAAATAAAGGGATGGAGGAAGATCTACCAAGCAAATGGAAAGCAAAAAAAAGCAGGGGTTGCAATCCTAGTCTCTGATAAAACAGACTTTAAACCAACAAAGATTAGAAGAGACAAAGAAGGCCACTACATAATGGTAAAAGGATCAATTCAACAAGAACAGCTAATTATCCTAAATATGCATGCACCCAGTACAGGAACATCCAGATTCATAAAGCAAGTCCTTAGAGACCTACAAAGAGACTTAAACTCCCACACAATAATAATGGGAGACTTTAATACCCCACTGTCAACATTAGACAGATCAACGAGACAGAAGGTTAACAAGGATATCCAGAATTTGAACTCACCTCTGCACCAAGTGGACCTAATAGACAACTACAGAACTCTATACCCCAAATCAACAGAATATACATTCTTCTCAGCATTTATTCTAAAGTTGACCACATAATTGGAAGTAAAGCACACCTCAGGAAATGTAAAAGAACAGAAATCACAACAAACTGTCTCTCAGACCACAGTGCAATCAAATTAGCACTTGGGATTAATAAACTCACTCAAAACCACACAACTACATGGAAACTGAACAACCTGCTCCTGAATGACTACTGGGTAAATAAAGAAATAAAGGCAGAAATAAAGATGTTCTTTGAAACCAATGAGAACAAAGACACAATGTGCCACAATCTCTGGGACACATTTAAAGCAGTGTGTAGAGGGAAATTTATAGCACTAAATGCCCACAAGAGAAAACAGGAAAGATCTAAAATTGACACCCTAACATCACAATTAAAAGAACTAGAGACGCAAGAGCAAACAAATTCAGAAGCTAGCAGAAGGCAAGAAATAACTAAGATCAGAGCAGAATTGAAGGAGATAGAGACACAAAAAAACCTTCAAAAACTTAATGAATCCAGGAACTGTTTTTTTAAAATGATCAACAAAATAGATAGACTGCTAGCAAGACTAACAAAGAAGAAAAGAGAGAAGAGTCAAATAGATGCAATAAAAATGATAAAGGGGATATCACCACTGAACCCACAGAAATACAAACTACTATCAGAGAATACTATAAATACCTCTATGCAAATAAACTAGAAAATCTAGAAGAAATGGATAAATTCCTGGACACATATACCCCCCAAGACTAAACCAGGAAGAAGTTGAATCCCTGAGTAGACCAATAACAGGTTATGAAATTGAGGCAATAATTAATAGCCTACCAACCAAAAAAAAGTCCAGGACCAGAAGGATTCACAGCCGAATTCTACCACAGGTAGAAGAGCTGGTACCATTCCTTTTGAAACTATTCCAATCAATAGAAAAAGAGGGAATCCTCCCTAACTCATTTTATGAGGCCAGCATCATCCTGATACCAAAGCCTGGCAGAGACACAATGAAAAAAGAGAATTTTAGGCCAATATCCCTGATGAACATCAATGTGAAAATCCTCAATAAAACACTGGCAAACGGAATCCAGCAGCACATCAAAAAGCTTATCAACCATGATCAAGTCAGCTTCATCTCTGGGATGAATGGCTGGTTCAACATATGCAAATCAATAAATGTAATCCATCACATAAACAAAACCAATGACAGAAACTACATGATTATCTCAATAGATGCAGAAAAGGCCTCTGAAAAAAATTCAACAGCCTTCATGCTAAAAGGCTGCAATAAACTAGGTATTGATGGAAGATATCTCAAAATAATAAGAGCTGTTTATGAAAAAACCACAGCCAATATCATACCGAATGGGCAAAAGTTGGAAGCATTCCCTTTGAAAACTGGCACAAGACAAGAATGCCCTCTCTCACCACTCCTATTCAACATAGTGTTGGAAGTTCTGGCTAGGGAAATCAGGAAAGAGAAAGAAATAAAGGTATTCAATTAGGAAAAGAGGAAGTCAAATTGTCCCTGTTTGCAGATGACATGATTGTATATTTAGAAAACCCCATTGTCTAAGACCCAAATCTCCTTAAGCTGATAAGCAAATTCAGCAAAGTCTCAGGATACAAAATCAATGTGCAAAAATCACAAGCATTCCTATACACCAATAACAGAAGAGAGCCAAACCATGAGTGAACTCCCATTCACAACTACTACAAAGAGAATAAATTACCTAGGAATCCAACTTACAAGGGATGTGAAGGACCTTTTCAAAGAGAACTACAAACCAGTGCTCAATGAAATAAAAGAGGATACAAACAAATGGAAGAACATTCCATGCTCATGAATAGGAAGAATCAATATTGTGAAACTCGCCATACTGTCCAAGATAATTTATAGATTCAATGCTATCCCCATCAAGCTACCACTGACTTTCTTCATAGAATTGGAAAAACTACTTTAAAGTTCATATGGAACCAAAAAAGAGCCCACATAGCCAAGACAATCCTAAGCCAAAAGAACAGAGCTGGAGGCATCATGCTGTCTGACTTCAAACTATACTACAAGGCTGCAGCAACCAAAACAGCATGGTACTGGTACCAAAACAGATATATAGACCAATGGAACAGAACAGAGGCCTCAGAAATAACATCACACATCTACAATCATCTGATCTTTGATAAACCTGACAAAAACAAGCAATGGAGAAAGGATTCCCTATTTAATAAACGGTGCTGGGAAAACTGGCTAGCCATATGTAGAAAGCTGAAACTAGATCCCTTCCTTACACCATATACAAAAATTAACTCAAGATGGATTAAAGACTTAAATGTAAGACCTAACACCATAAAAACCCTAGAAGAAAACCTAGGCAATACCATTCAGGACATAGGCATGGGGCCAAGGCTTCATGACTAAAACACCAAAAGAAATGGCAACAAAAGCCAAGTAGACAAATGGGATCTAATTAAACTAAAGAGTTTCTACACAGCAAAAGAAACTACCATCAGAGTGAACAGGCAACCTATAGAATGGGAGAAAATTTTTGCAATCTACCCATCTGACATAGGGCTAATATTCAGAATCTACAAAGAACTCAAACAAATTTACAAGAAAAAAACAAGCAACCCTATCAAAAAGTGGGTAAAGGATATGAACAAAGAGTTCTCAAAAGAAGTCATTTATGCAACCAACAGTCATTTGAAAAAATGCTCATCATCACTGGCCATTAGAGAAATGCAAATCAAAACCACAATGAGATACCATCTCACGCCAGTTAGCATGGCAATCATTAAAAAGTCAGGAAACAACAGATGCTGGAGAGGATGTGGAGAAATAGGAACACTTTTACACTGTTGGTGGGACTGTAAACTAGTTCAACCACTGTGGAAGACAGTGTGGTGATTCCTCAAGGATCTAGAACTAGAAATACCATTTGACCCAGCCATCCCATTACTGGGTATATACTCAAAGAATTATAAATCATGCTGCTATAAAGACACATACACATGTATGTTTATTGTGACACTATTCACAATAGGAAAGACTTGGAACCAACCCAAATATCCATCAATGATAGACTGGATTAAGAAAATGTGGCACATATACACAACGGAATACTATGTGGCCCTAAAAAAGGATGAGTTCATATCCTTTGCAGGGACATGGATGAAGCTGGAAACCATCATTCTTAGCAAACTATGACAAGGACAGAAAAACAAACACCGGATGTTCTCACTCATAGATGGGTGTTGAACAATGAGAAAACATGGACACAGGGTGGGGAACATCAACATCAGGGCCTGTCGTGGGGTGGGGGGCTAGGGGAGGGATAGCATTAGGAAAAATACCTATTGTAAATGATGAGTTGATGGTTGCAGCAAACCAACATGGCACATGTATACCTATATAATAAACCTGCACATTGTGCACATGTACCCTAGAACTTAAAGTGTAATTAAAAAAAAATCCCTTTGCTCCTACCCATCTCATGTAATACAATAAATACGATTCTTTTATTATCTTGTCTTAACAGTCTTTGGTGGCTACTCTAGGCACAGCAATTCCTTTTTTTGTTCAGAGAACTTATTTTTCTTTTTCCTGTGGTTCATTATTTGTGGGTTTTTTTTTTTTTGGAAATTACTTCTACCTTTAATTTTAGCCTAACCTAATTAAGTGTGTTGCTATCTTTTTAAAACAGTTATTCTTACCCATTTTCTTAATAATAGCACAAAATATTAATAAGGTAAATTAATTTGTAATGTATATTCATCTCATTTTAAAAATTTAACATAGAAAATGATGATCTGTGATTTGTGAAAGAAATATCAATAGATGTGAATATTTTTCTCATTTAATTAGAAACTCAATAAAACTCTTGAATGGTTCCTACTTCTGTGTTGTTGATCCTGACCTACAATGACTGTTGACTCTCACTTTTGTATTCAGGAGTATTATTCTCCATTTAAACCTTTCGCAGCGACTTTTCTTGTGATTGTTTGGAGACAGAGCTCTATTAGCAAACATTTTTTTCCCATTTACCTCAGGTTTTCTCCTGCTAAAATCCCAATGATTGCCATTGATTAAAAACCAGTCTTGCCATCAGATAAACTCTTAAATTTTCCTCCCAATTCAGTATATAAAGTAATTATATAATGTTATTATTCATATAGAATGTTAATATATAATACTAGTATATATTAAAATGTTATTTTTTTATTTTATTTTTTATTTTTGAGACAGATTCTCGCTCTGTTGCCAGGCCAGAGTGCAATGGTGTGATCTTGGCTCACTGCAACCTCTGCCTCCTGGGTTGAAGCAATTCTTCTGCCTCAGCCTCCAATGTAGTTGAGACTACAGGTGTGCACCACCACGCCCAGCTGATTTTTGTATTTTTATTAGAGACAGGGTTTCACCGTGTTAGCCAGGATGGTCTCTATCTCTTGACTTCGTGATCTTTCCCCACCTCGGCCTCCCAAAGTGTTGGAGTTTCAGGCGTGAGCCACTCTGCCCAGCCAGTTATTTTCTTTTTATCTTTTATCTACTACAGGTTTATTTGTGGTTACCATCAGGCTTACATATACCAACTTATAGTTATAACAGTCTATTTTAATGTGATATTAACTTAATTTTGACCGCACATAAAACTCTACATTAACTTTTCCTCACTGCATATCTTATTTATTAATGTTACAATTTACATATTTTTATATTGTGTATCCATTAACAAATTATTTATTTTTATTACTTTCGTCTTTTAACTTTTATAAGAGTATAATGCACCACCATTAGAGTATTATAGTATTTTGAATCTGAATATGCTCTTACCTTTACAGAAAATTTTATATTTTCATTTGTTTTCATGTAGTTATTTAGTGTCCTTTTGTTTCAACTTGAATATCTTTATCATTTCATGTAAAGCAGGTCTAGTGGGGAATTTCCTCAGCTTTTGTTTCTCTTGGAAAATTTTAATCTCTCTTTCATTTCTGAAAGTCAGCTTTGCCAGGTATAGTATTTCTATTGGCACTTTATTCCTTTCAGTACTTTGAATGTGTCATCACATTCTCTCTTGGCCTGCAAGGTCTCTGATGAGAAACCTACTGATGATCTTATGGGTGTTCCCTTGTAATAGATGGGTCACATTTTGTTGTTGCTTCTAAAATTATCTTTGTCTTTGACCTTTTTGAATTTGATTATAATTTACCTTAGTAAACACCTTCTGCTTAATCTATTTGGCATTCTTTGGTCTTCATAGAACTGAATGTTCATTTTCTCTTCAGGTTTGGGAAGCTCTCTGTCATTACATCTTTAAATAAACATTCTGCTCTTTT
Source organism: Homo sapiens (assembly GCF_000001405.40). Lineage (NCBI taxonomy): Eukaryota > Metazoa > Chordata > Mammalia > Primates > Hominidae > Homo > Homo sapiens. The sequence goes on along the minus strand of NC_000005.10, from coordinate 87,917,129 downwards.
CTTTTTCTTCATTCCTTGTAGGACTCCCATAATGCATACATCTGTTTTCATGATGATATCTCATAAGTTCCATGAGTTTTCTTGTTTTTTTGTTATTCTCTTTTTTTTTCCCTCTAATTTAGTAATTTCAAATGACCTGTCTTTAAGCTCTCTGCTTCTTTCTCCTGCTTGATTGAATCAGCTGTTGAAATTATGAAAATCTTCAGTTCAGTCATGTTCTTCAGCTTCAGAATTCCTGTTGTTTTTTAATAGGTTCTCTCTCTTATTGGACTAATTTTGTTCTTTTATTGTTTTCCTGATACTGTTTACTTGTCTGTGTTTTGTAGCTCACTGCGCTTCTTTAAGATAATTATTTTGAATTCTTTGTTGGGCTTTTCATAAATTTCTATTTCTTTAGAGTTGGTTACTGATGGTGCTTACATTTTTTTCCTCTGTGGTGTCATGTTTCCCTGATTACTTGTGGTCCTCGTGGCCTTACATTTGTGTCTGTGCATTTGAAAAAGTAAGCACCTCTTACAGTCTTTACGCAATGGCTTTCATAGGGAAATCACTTCGCTAGTCAGCCCATCTAGAGCTACTGATTGGGCTCACTGGCAGGGTTCACAGGGAGACTTGCTGCTGTTTTTTTAGAACTTTCTGGCCTAGTCCCTGCATCAGTAGGTGGATGGGTCTGGCTCCTGGCTCCACAGGGGATGTCCTGGTAACCGGGCAGGCTTGGTGTTTGGACCCACAGTGGTGAATGTAATGTGAAGCTTGTGTCTATGTGAGAGGGTCTAGCTCCTGGGTTCACAGTAATAGGCCTGGAATCTGGGTCTTTCAGTTCAGGCCAGATCCTGGGTCCACAAGAGATAGCCTGGCATTAGGGTCCACTTGGGTGGGCCTGAAGTTTGGATCTGTAGGGGCAGGCCTGAGGTCTGGGTTCACAGGGTCCAACAGCTCAGCACTGAGGCAGACTCTGAACCTCAGTCTGTGAAGGCCAGCCTAGTACTGGGGTGGGCTTGAAGCCTGAGTACTCAAGGGTAGGCCCTGGTCCTGAGGCTTTAGGGTCTGGCCTAAAACCTGGGGCCATGGAGGCTGGTCTGGTGCTGGGGTGGGCCTGAGTCTTGATCCTCAGGGGCTGGCCTACAGTCAGTTCACTGGGAGAGGCCTCATGATGGGGTACATGGTGGAGTTTGTTTCTAATTTTACACTCCTTCCCCCTTATAAAAGTATCTCTCTCTGCACTGTGCTGCCTGTATTGGAGAAGGGATTATATGAGTAATATGAAACAGTCCTTTTTACCCTCTTCAGTGTGTCTTTTATTATTTATTTACCCTACCCATGTGCTGTAATCTCTTACCTAGGTTCCTTAGCTTTTGAGAAGGTATTTTTGTGTGTGCATAATTTTTCAAATTGATGTTTCTGTAAGAGGACAAGCACTGAAAACTTCTGTTCTGCCATCTTGCTGACATCACTACTCTATCATCTAAATATGTATTTTAAGTACACTTTTAATTGTCAATACACCACATTTGCATAGGTATAACAGAAACTGGTCAAAGTCACATGTTATGATAGTGTGAGTGATGTGTACTTTATTAATCTGCTAGTAGGGTCTAGAAGGAACTAACAAAACAGATGAAAATCCTATTTGCAGGAACCTCAACAGACAGAAGATCCTTAACTCTTAAATCTAAGCATGATTAATTTTCTTTTTAAAAATTATCATATTATTTTTAAAATTATATTTTTAATTGAAGTATAATAAATTATTCATATTTATGAGGTACAAAGTAATATTTTAATACATGTATACAATATGTAATGATCAAATCAGGGTGCTATATTTTGGGTGCTTGTCCCACCAAAATTCATGTTAAAATTTGATTCCCAGTGTTGGAGATTGGGCCTAATGGGAGACGACGTTTGGGTCATGGGGTCAGATTCCTCATGAATGGCCTAGGGGCATCCTCACAATAATGAGTTAGTTTTCATTCTATTAGTTCCTGTGAGAGCTGGTTGTTATAAAGAGCCTGGTACTTCCTCCTTCTCTCTCTTTCTCTTGCTTCCTCTCTTGCCATGTGATCTCTGCACATGCCAGCTTCTCTTAACCTTCCACCATGAGTGGAAGCAGCCTGAGGCCCTCATGAGAAGTTGAGGAGATTGCAGCATCATGCTTCTTATATATCCTGTATAACTATGAGCAAATAAACCTCTTTTCTTTATTAATTACCCAGTCTCAAACGTTCCTTTACAGCAATGCAAATGGACTAGGACAGTAAATTGGTACTGAGGAGTGGGGTGTTGCTATAAAGATACCTGAAAATGTGGAAGCAGTTTTGGAACTGGGTAATAGGCAGAGGTAGAAAATTTGGAAGGATTAGAAAAAAATTAAAAGGTGAGGGAAATTTTGTAACTACTTAGATATTGATTAAGTGGTTGTGAACAAAATGCTGATAGAAATATAGATAGTAAAGCCATGCTGATATAGAAATGAGGAACTTATCAATAACTGAATCAAATGTCACCCTTGTTCACCCACGTAAAATAACTTGGCTGCATTGTGTCCATGTCCTGGGTCTTTGTGGAAGGCTGAACTTAAGAGTGATGACCTAGAGTATCTGGAGGAAGATACAAAATGCAAATCAAAACCACAATAAGATATTGTCTTATCCCAGTTAGAATGGCTATTATAAAAACCAGAGCACCATTGTGGTCTGAAAAGATATCTGACATAATTTTGATTTTTTTAAAATTTCTTGAGCCTTAACCTATGGTCTATCCTTGAGAATGTTCCACAGGCTGATGGGAAGAATGTGCATTTTGCAATAGTTGGTTGAAATGTTCTGTAAATGTTTGTTAGGTCCATTTGGTTTATAATGTAATTTAATTATGATATTTGTTTGTTTTCTGTCTAAATGCTGACAGTGGGGGTGTTGATGTTCCCAGCGATTATTATACTGGGGTCTATCTTTATATTTAGCTCTAATAATACACTCTTTGTATATTTGGGTACTCTTATGTTGGGTGCATATATATTTTTAATTTTATATTTTCTTGCTGAATTGATCTTTTTGTCATTATGTAATGATCTTCATCCCTTTTTATGTTTCTTTGTTTATAATATATTTTATCTGGTATAAATATATCTTTTTCTGTGTGCCTTTGGCATCTGTTTGTGAGGAATATTTTATTCCATTCCTTCACTTTCAATCTTATGTGGTCTTTATGGTAAACAGAGTTTCTTATAGGAAGCATATAGTTGGGTCTTGTTTATTTTTTAACTCATGCAGCCAGTCTATATCTTTTAATTGGAGACTATAACTGCTTTACATTCAAGGTTGGTAATAATAAGTAAGGACCTACTCCTGTCATTTTGTGAATTGTTTTCTAGTTGGTTTGTGTATCCTGTGCTTCTTTATTCCTCTCTTTTTGTTTATCTTTGTAGTTTATTGGTTTTCTGTAGTGATATGTTTGATTCCTTTCTCTTTCTCGTACGTTTATCTGTTGTGCCAGTGAGTCTTATTCTTTTAGGTGTTTTTATAATGGCAAATATTCAGTTTTTGCTTCTAGATGTAGGTTTCCTTTAAGCATTTCTGGTAGGGCTGGTCTAATGATAATAAATTTCCTGTTTTTGCTTGTCTGGGAATGACTTCTTTTTCTTCATTCCTTTAAGATGGTTCTGCTGGGTATAACATTCTTGTCTGACATTTTTGTTTGGTTTGGTTTCCACACTTTGAATATATTTTCCCATCTCTTTTGGCCTGTAAGATTTCTGCTGAGAAATCTGCTCTTATTCTGATGGAGATTCCCTTATATATCACTTGATGCTTTTCCCTTGCTATTTTTAGAATTCTGTCTTTGTCTTTGACTTTTCAGTTTTACTATAATGTGCCTTGGAGAGGGACTTTTGGATTGAATATATTTTGGTATCTTTCAACTTCTTGTACCTGGATGTCCGTATCTCTTTCAATACTTGGGAGGTTTCAGTGATTACTTCATTAAATAGATTTTCTATGCCTTTTTTTCACCTCTTCTCCTTCTGCAACTCTCATAATGTCAGATTTTGTTCACATCATTGTGTCCCATATGTCTTGTAGGCTTTCTTCATTCTTCATTCTTTTTTATTTTTTCTACTTGTGGAGATGTAGGGGCAATTGGGCCCCATGGTAGGATGGACTTTGGTGGTGGCTCTACTTTTAAAATGGTGACATTCTGCAGCAGTCTAAGTTATGGGTGATGGAGTGGGGGGACCCATTATGAATTATTTCTCTGGAAGCTCCGTATACTGTGCTTAATCCCTACAAGGGTTGTGGGACTCTCAGGTAGTTAGAATTCAGATGTTCGTGATTGATATATGGACACTTGGGGATCTCCTGCTTACCTTTTCCTTGCAGTAGGGAGTCCCTCTTGGGTCTGAGTTGATCCTGGCCAGGTGCTTTATTTCTTTCTCTATGCTGCTATCCTGAGTCACCATGCCACACTGGGTCTTTGTCATTTCTTTGCTAAATTCCAGTGTTCTCTCCTAGACACTGTGTGGTTTTCTGGATATGTGGTTATCTATTTTGTTGTTGTTCTTTCTTTGTGAAGGAGACAAGTGCTGGGTGTGGTAGGGAGCCATCTTGATGACTTGTCCTCTAAGCATGACTGTTTTCAGTGAGTAACCTAGACTTACACATTTCATTTATATTTACTTGATATTAAATTATTGCTTTTCTTTGGAGAACTACTGTAAGGACATCTAAAACTTCTCAGAGATGTAAACAACATTCCAAAGCTTATAAGAAGCACCCAGGATACTCTCTTTCATACTTTAGTGTCTTATTAAGAAATATTTATATTAGAATTTTGAAAAGTCAAAAATTTCAAAGCCTTCAAAGAATCCATTTCAGGTTTTTCTTATAATATTTGCAAGCAGGAAAGGGAGCTGAAAGTTGCAGGTAGGTTGAAACAGAGGTGGGCCCTATATGTTGAATGCAAGAAAGATACCAACTCTGTAATTTAGGATACGTTGTTGTAATGTTCTCTGAAATCTGAGCTCTAGTGATAGTCGCAAAGTCTTCCAAACCCGTGGTTGTTTTGGTCACTCTAGTCTTTCCTAAGTCTACAGTGGCATAGCCATTGTCTTAATCAGCTTCTTGGTAATGCATTAATGAAATGCACTTCATACACCACCCACAGGCTCAGATCAGGCTTAGGAGATTGCTTTAATAAGAGAATCAGGTGTATAATGGCCTTATGTTGTAGGTAGATTCTTTCTGACAAACCACCCATTTTAATTCTTCTTGATCCCCATTATAGCTTTTGATTCTGGGGATCATGGGGCTTTATTGAAATGCCCATATTGCATTGGAGACCTTAGAAGCACAGTCCTGTCTCAAGTTTCAATTTTTGTTTTCTGTATGAGGAAATGGTTTGGAATTGCTTCCATGCAATTTTCAACTCTGTGGAAATAAATGTGATTGATTCAGAATTTCTGTTAGCTTCCATGTCTTTTTATTTTTGTAACAGTGTTCATTTGAAAATTTTTAATGATCTACAGACACTTCTGTATTACATTGTCATAATTTTGTTCATAGGGTAGTTCATTGTTAATTAGGAAGACATTTTATGAAATCATATTGATTTATCTGTCAGATGGAAGAACCACATAACTTTTGGGGAGATACTTTTCAACACAAGTGTTTGTAGTTAAAACTGGGGAGGCAACCACAACTTTTAGAAAAAAATATCTAGAAAAATTATGCATTTCTAACAAATGGTTAATATAGTGAAAATGAAACTTCAAAAATGTGTGGACTTTCTACTCTAAAGGAGAAAGTTCTCTGAACAAATCAATTATTTTGTTTTATGTCTGTGATCCTTTCCAAATTTAAAGGGAGAAATTGTGAGTTAAAAAAAATAGATATATAGAAAATTGATCTGTTTGATAAGACCAGTTCAGGGCAAAGCTATGAATTAGGCAATTTTCTTCATTTGGCAATATTTCTATTGTTCCTTAAATGTTTTTCCTTTTTGTCAGTATGTTCCTTTTCCCGTTACCTTCCAGGCACACTTATGCCAAGGTTTTACTTTCTAATTATGTCCCTCTTCCATTTAAAGCTTACTTGCATATATCCCTTTGCTTCATAGCCAGTTAAAATAATACAATAGTTTTATTAACAGATAATGGCTTAATGTATTATTGATAACTTTCTTTTTTATGGGAAGTTTTGGAGATAAGCATTCCTAAAATTAATTCAGATAAATTTAAAGGAGATGGAGGAATTAGAGATAACAAGAAATATATTTTTGCACAGACAGATTTTTTTCCCAAGCATTTCTCAAATTACATCTACTTACTTTTGTATAACTATTCTGCTAATATTAAACACATTGAATTCATATAACAGAAATGGCTCACTTGTTATTTGAAAATGAAATTCATTAATTATTAGAGTGGTTTACATTTCTAAAGTAATTTCATGTGCATTTCCTCATGTGATTATCTCAATAACCATATTAGGAAGAGCACATAGTGTCACCTTTTTACAAATGAAGGAATTGAGCCTCAGACAGGTTTATAGATTTGCTTAAGGTGACCAACCAGTGTATAGTAAAAATAGAAAATAAAGCAATGTCTCTGGACTCCTGGCCTCATAATTGTTCCATCATTGTTAGTCAAGATATATAAGAGATGAAAATTTAATTAAATATCCTTCCCTTTATTCAGTACACATATATTAATCACCAGTAATACGCATTGACTCATAAGGGATACAGAGAGGCAGAGACATGACCTTGGTAGGAGATCCCAGTCTAGTGGGGAAAGTTAAGACATTTAAAGAGATTTCTGTAATACAAGATAGAAAGCAAAATGTCCCAGTAAAATTGAGGAAGAGATATACTAAGTGAATCCAGAGAAGGACTTTCTAGCTGTAAAGAGAAAATTGTAGTCTTCATACTGGAGTGTGCACATGGACATGGGTTTGTAGGATGTCAAGGATATGGACACATAGAGATGAAAGAGAAAGATAGTACACAAAAGCAGAGAGAATATTGAGCACAAAGTTAGAGAGGAAAAGGGTCGATGATATAGACCTTTTCTGCATTTTCTTTCCTTCATATTGATACTCCCTTCTGTTAACAGTACAGAAGGGAATACTGATGTGGAGTACTCGTCTGTTAAAAATACCCAAATATTTCTTTGGGCAGCCAGCTCTTTCCAACTCTAAACGTATGTGTTTGTTGAGAGGTTGATCTGACCATTCTGCTTTAAAGAGGACCACAATTCCTGGCCTGATCAGTCAGAATTACAGTGGTCCAAGGATATGCATATTATGCAGGACTTTTGAGAAAAAGCACATTTTTTTTCTTTCTGCTGAGATTGCTCAGACAGTAGAATGTAAGTGGTGGTCTTCTTTGCCCCCTTATGGAAAAAGCCTTCTGTTTGTATACAGTTCTCAATGGGTTTCTCACATTTCTGTCCATCTTGTGTATAAAGTATGAACTGCCTTTGGTTCCAGACTATACTTAAAAATATGCTTGCTCAGTAAATAGCCTTGGGAAGAGAGAAAGAGATCCAGAACAAAGGAAAGGAATGCCTACTGCGCATCAGAAAAGATTCAGGCTCTCTAAGCTCAGATTTCCTCTACTGCAACACAACCTACTACCTGGGCAGGCATGCACCTAGGCTTTTCTGTATCCCCTCATGATATTTACGGATTAGAGGGATTCACAGAAATATACCTTTGCCTCTGGTCCAGCAGTCTCATGTTTTCTGTCAGCATTTATATAACTGAGGCAGGTTAACTTGCTAACTTACAAGCAAGGTAAATCTCAGATCATTCTCATTTTTCTGACACTTTCTAGATAAATAAACCAACATAGAGGCTTCTAGAAAGATGTGCAAAGAAAGAAGTTTGTGGCAATAATTTTTTTGACATCTGTATCAAATTGTGCCTTAATTCAGATATCTCTATCTTACTCAGTTAAATGAGCCACCACATTTTCCTTAAGTTTTCTTAAATTATGTTTCCATCACTTGCAACCAAAAAAAATCCCAATTTATCCCAATATTTGAGAACAATCTAAAAATTTAACTTAATTCGATGCAGAAATGGGACTACTGAAAGATTAGATTAGATATGGATTTCTAGCATAGCTGTGAATTTAACTGGAAGCGAATGAAAACAATAGGATTTTTCCATTAGACTACAATATTTCACACACATTTAATTGTTGAGTATTAATATGGAATTTCATTCCGGTGCATTGTATGCATGTACTCAACTAGCAAAAAAAAATGTAGGTCTTTAATTGTCATTAGTTTTTAGAAGATGAAGGACAGATATTATTTACGATAAGCAAATTAAAACCAAGTGACTTTCCTGAAACTTCACTGTGGCTTGAAAGTAAACCATAGTTTATGTGATTGTCTTTAGGGTCTCCACGTATTCTTTTCTGACACACTTCATTTCAAAATATCTCATCAAGATAATAAATAAAAAAGAAAAATACACACTGATTACATAAAATATAATTTTTGCTACATACATTGTAAATAAAATAGTAGCCTATAAAATTAAGGGTTTCATTTTTTCAAGTAAGGTACAAAATGTGATATTATGAAAGGAACATTAAGCTTGGAATAATTTTACCTGTGTTTTTGCTACAGTGCTGTATAAAACAAAACCACTGAGTCTTAAAATTTCTTGTGTAAATTTGGATAATTAATCCTATCTTCACAGAGTAACTGAGGGTTAAGTAAGCTACGTTGTATGTGAATGTGTTTAGCATGTACTTGGAATAAATGTAGGTGATATTTTATATTTACTGTCTTTATCCTTTGTGTAAGGTACAAATATAGAAGTGTCATTTGAAGTGCTCAAAGATAATAAAAGATGATTTTAGAAGAATAAATGTTCATCTCTTTCAGAATTAATTCTGAAATTCTTCAGATAAGTTCATCTAAAAGATTAATACGTGACATGAAAAGTAATAGTAGTGGGGGCTTGCTTTCCCAAATGTTAAAACATAGCATAGAATAATAATGATTTTTAAAATGGAGAATGTATATAAGAATCAATAAACCAGTCAGTGGAATAGACTAGATAATCTTAAATGACAAAATGTAAACTAATTTGTAAAGTGGAACAAATAATAAAAAAGTACAATTCAACAAATGTCAGAACAATTTTCTCTGGGGAAAAAAACCAAGTCGTTTCATTTACTAATATAATTTTCCTGTGGATCTAGAAGTTAAAACTAAAAATAAAAGTCTTAAAATTATGACGCAATTTTTGAGCATAAAAGCAACAGAAAAAAATCTTAAAGGTTATTATTTAGTAATTTGACCACATGTAAGCTTGATAGTTCTGTATGTCAAACATGAATAAAAAGCAAATGATTAACTAAAATGTTAAGCATTTTAGTTAATAACTAAAATAATTTAAAAATGTTTGCAACAAGTATAGTAAGAGGAAAGAGTTCTCCCAAATTATTTTTAAATAACAACCCAGTGGAAAAATGAATAAAGGTCTTGTAGAACCATGTAATAGAGAAAGACAATGGGCCTGGAAATACATGAAAAATTTTCAACTTTGGTAGTAACCAAAGAAATACTAATAAAATAAGATTATTTTCATCACCACTGGCAAATTTATAGTGATCTGGGTTGCTGAAATGTGTACAAATTCATATAGATGTTCTGTAAAAAATTTGCTAATTTGTACTAAGAAATAAATGTTCCTATTTATTATATCCTTAATCCTACTCATAAATTTAATCCAATTCTATTCATAGCCATACCACAAATTCCTACAACTTCCTAACCTACTAGCAATCTATTCAAATAAAATAATTAGTAATTCTTATTGCAACATAATATAAATATTTCTTACAGTATGATTTATACAAAAGTAGGCCATAAGAAGAGAATAAAAATAATAAAATAGTTAAATACTAAATACACATGTAAAAAATTTTATGACATCATTAAAAATTCAGGTTTCAAGAAACATCTGGGAAAATGTTCATGATATAATACAAATAAATGAAATACAAAAGAAACATGATAAAACAAGAACACAATTTGATACCTATTATGACAAAAAAATTTCATTTAACAAAAGAAAAAGAATTGCACCAAAATGAGGTCATGCTAATTTCAAATAGGTGGCTTTTATTTTATATTTTATATTTTGTATTTTATATTTTCCCAATCTTTTTTTTTACAATACATCTTTCTATAACTAGACAAAAATGTTCTTTAGTTAAAATTTTTAAAAATTTTTAAAAAATCAAATGCTCAAAAAATATTCTTCTCTTTGGATGAAACCAGCTTATCTATAAAATTGTGTACTGCTGAAATTTCAGAGTACCCAATAAGATAAGAAAAACTAATTTGTTTTTATGGTACAGAGGTTAAAAAATGAGACACACACTATATGCTTGTGATATGAATATTTCTAATATTAAAACCAGCAATAGAAGTACACTATTTTGCATATTTTTGTTCTTTTCTCTTAGTATTACATGACCTTATGTTTAATTTGCATAATTTAAATGAGTCCTTTGAGTGGCATGCAGTTGCATAATTATTCTTTTTATTACCATTATTATTGTTCATGTAATAGCAGATAATTTGAATAGATCCTTTTTATTCTTCAAATTTTGCAGTTTCATATGCAATATAGATAGACTATATCAAAATGTTAAAATTACATGTGAAGATATAAAGAGAACTGTTGAAGATTTTTAGAATCATGGATTTGTCTGTCTCCTAAATAAGCAAAAGGAAGAATCTACATTTTTTGTTTAGAAAATCAAAAGTCAAGTATTTAACTCTTGTACCTTGTGTAATTGTGGAAACCATCCACACACACAAAAAAATGGAATACATGTTAAATTGTTTAACTCTGTTGAATAATATACACTTTCTTATTTTTCAGGAATTTTTTATATAATAAACTTAAGAAAATCATGTATCACTAAAATATGTATGCTCAGTTCTTGATAAATATATAAAAATTGTATTCAAAGTCAGATTGTTGTTGATGCTTGATATGGTTTGCTGTGTCCCCACCCAAATCTCATTTTGAATTGTAGCTCCCATAATCCCCATGTGTCATGGGTAGGAACCAGTGGGAGGTAATTGAATCATGGGGCAGGTCTTTCCCATGCTGTTCTTGTTATAAAGAATAAATCTCAAGAAATCTGATGGCTTTATAAAGGGCAGTTCCCTTGCACACACTCTCTTGCTGCCACCATGTAAGACGTGCCTTTGCTCCTCCTTCGCCTTCTGCCATGACTGTGAGGCCTCACCAGCCATGTGGAACTATGAGTCCATTAAACCTCGTTGTCTTTATAAATTAGCCAGTCTCAGGTATGTCTTTATTAGCAGCATGAAAACAGGCTAATACAATGCTGTTTTCATTTACAGTTTTCTAAAAGCAAAATATTTTGTTATTTATAGAATCCTTAAAATTTAAATTATCTAACAATCATTCCCACTCTCAGATTTATTTAAAAAAGTAATAAAGCTCTCATTATTATAGGATATGTCAGACTCTTCCAGTTTTTAAATTAATTTTCCAAATAGGCATAAGGCATAATAAGCAAAAGACATAAGACAGAATAGGCATAAGGATTAAGGAGGTGAAGTAGATGTCTGGTACCCAATCAGGCATAGGGCATTGTTCTGTAACTTGAGATCAGAAGAGACTGGGCAACTATGGCTGGGATGTACAGTTGTCACTTCTTCCCATAATTAAACATTTCTTTAAAATTTTCTGCACTTTACCACGAGGAAGCATCTGATATGCTGCCATAATTGAAGTCAGTTTTGCTTTCCTTATGCATATGTCAATGTCAGATGTTACAAGGACAATCAAGAAGTAGAATTCAGGCTCTGGCTTCTGTATGCAAAGACCTCACATCTCCACTGGGGAAGGCCAACCCTTGTGTCTGCCCCTGGTTCTCAAATAACAACAGGACAAAGTTGTGTGTTCTTTAGCAACAAAACGTGTGGGATAGACATTGAGTCCCAAAAAACAAGTCTTTGAGAAAAAACACTAGCCTCGTGAGAGAATAAGAGCAGACAGGTGTTTTAGCGAAGATGAAAAGATGGTCCAGGGCTTGCCAGGACCAACAAGTGTCCCATGTCAAAATACAGAATTAAGAACAAACTATTAATTTTACTGGACAGTAAAATTACCTACTTGAGCCAAAAAATCTTTGTGGAGTTTCCCTTTCTCTCTCATGTTCTGATTTCAATGTTACCAAATCTGTCAGTTCTGCTTTTTTAACATCTTTCCCACTTGTAGCCCTATACCGTGTCATCCTTGCTGCTCTTGCCTTAATTTAGTACCCCATTAGCTTTCAACTCAACTATTGGAATAGGCTTCCAACTGATCTCCTTACTTACTGTGTTAGACACCCTTCTATCCCCGCTCCATAAATCCTGCCTACATTCTGCTGTCACTATGATCATTCTAGGATGAAAATCATGACACACTAATCCTTTGCTTAAAACCCTGGTCTCTTTACATTCGCTCTCAAGTTGAAGCACATGAAATTGCTAGTATTGAACAGGTTTGGAGCTATAAAAACAGCAATTTTATAATGCAACTGCTGAAAACTTATATCAGGAGACCTTGGGCTGTGAGTAACAATACCCAAGTAAAAACGGCTTGAAAATGAAAACATTAATTAATACTTCTCCTTCAAACTTGTGCTTCATAATCTCCCTTTTCAAGACTGTCATCTCATTTGTCCCTCTCCTGGACACAATGAATCATTAAATACACTACTTAGCAAAGCACTTATTATTAAATTTGTTAGTCAACATATCATAACATTTATTTTTCTTCCTCTCATAATCGCCTCAAGTTCTTTGAGGGCAAGAATCATGTTTGATTCATCTGCATATTTCCAGAGCCCTGCACAGTGCCTGGAACAAAGTGGGCACTACATATTTGTAGATTAAGTGAATGCATGAATGGCAGAATGGATGAATATATAATTGAGTAAATAAGATGGGGTCAGATTTTATACCATAATTATATGGGTGTCATATAAATGTCTCCATTATTTGCTGTACACCATGGGTTGCAGATTGGAGGTTTTCAGCACAACACATTCTTTTCCCAGTGCTTCAATGAAGTTGTTTCCAAAACAATGTCTTATTTTTCAGTCTGACAATATAAGTACAAATTAATATCAATATCATGATATAATTGTGCTACTTGCCATCTAGAGGCAATCAATGAAACTTAGGAGCCCTCAGAAACTATTATCCTTCTCCTATCTATCTCATATAAATATTGTAACCATCTATTAATAAAATAATGCTGTTTAAAGTAACTTAGATTTTTTTTAGTGCTTAAGTTTAGCAAAATATTTGCTAATGTTTTTAGAAGGTACTTTTGAAATTGGTAATATTCCCTGCAATATTTGTATAAAATGAGACTTGTTTAATTGAAAAGAAGCTTATCGGTCAGGCGTGGTGGCTCACGCCTGTAATCCCAGCACTTTGGGAGGCCGAGGTGGGCGGATCATCGGAGGACAGGAGTTCGAGACCAGCCTGGCCAACATAGTGAAACCCTGTCTCTACTGAAAATACAAAAATTAACCAGGTGTGGTGGCCACACTTATAATCCCAGCTACTCGGGAGGCTGAGGCAGGAGAACACTTGAACCCAGGAGGCAGAGGTTGCAGTGAGCCGAGACCGTGCCATTGCACTCCAGCCTGGGGGACAAGAGAAAACTCTGTCTAAAAAAAAAAGAAAGGAAGAAAGATTTATTATTAGCACATCTTAACTTTATATTGAAAGCCTTATGTGATAGAGTAAAAAGTAATGAACTGGATTCTGAGAGTATAGATTAAGTATCAAATGAAATAACTTTGTAGATTATCAACTTTATTGAGGTCATAAGGTTATATATTTATGTGCTTTCCATAAAATGTTTTACAGTACATGCCAAATGATCTGTTGTTTCTTCAGATTAATGGAATAATGTGCTTGTCAAAATCTTTATTCTTAGCATCGCATAAAACGCGTAGATTAGCAAGAGGTTTTGCTAGGGTTCTTAAAGTTTGGACTCAAAAAAAAAGACCTCTATTCAGAATTTCATATAATAGAGTAAATTTATGATTCTTAAAATAAATTACCATTTCTAACACTTAGAGAAGTACAGTGGAGTCAGAGGTGTCTGGCCTTACTTATTAATTCCACCTCTCTACTCCTTTTTCAAGCTTCATTTTTTTTTCTCCAGTTGAGTATCTTGCAGAGGTAAGTGCTGAAAAGAATATAACCAAGTCTTGCGTTATGTAACAGAACACACAGTTAGAGATTTTGTGTGGGCTACAAAAAAAAAATACATCTGAGAGTGCAGAAAGTTAGCGTTAGCATGAACAGTACATGCCAAGGTATTTATTAGAAAGGAAGGACATTTGTGTGTGTATGCACATGTGCACCATTATAAACAAAGGTACCAACCTGCAATTTCATTATAAAAGATAGCTCAACAAATAAGAACCATATTTTCATCTCTTATGAACGATTTTGTTTTCAGAAACTTTAGGCAAATTCAGAACTATAAAACATATGGCAAATTAGAGGAGCCACTCTTTAGTTTCGGGAGGTCTCTCCTGCTGGAGTGACTCAGCGGTTCAAGAAGCATCCATGGGAGGAGAAAGATCCAAAACCATTTGCTGGTATTACACAAATTAGCAATTTCACAAAACATCACCACTGTTCAGATCAGGAGTCAGGAGAAATAATGTTAAGCCAGAAGAAGGAAGGATTAGAATGTGTCCTGAATTCAAAGTCAAGAGAATATGGGAATTCAACTGCACAGTCAAGACTAAGGCATCTAGATATATCATATATTATAGAATATATGAATCTAGAAAGTGGACTTGAGACAAACACAAGGGAAATGGACATGTGGAACACACTGGAGTCCCTTAGAGTAAGTCTGAAGTCATGTCTACATTTGGATTGTCAAAATCCAGTTATAGAAACATAACTATAGGCAGCAGAGCAGGTAATGAAATTCATTCATAGAGAGCCTGAGAGTGAATGTTAGAAGCAGCTCAGCCACAGGTTGGCTTTGATGGAAAGTGATCTTGACAGCTAGGGTCCCTTTTATCCCCCCATCTCTAGCTAGAATTAGTCTCAGTGTGGCCTCCTGCAGAGTCTACAGGCAGGAGAACCAGAAGAATGCAGGGGCTAGTACTGTTAGTTACTCTCCTGCCCCAGTCAGAATGTCTGGCTGCCATTCTCCTTCATCCCTTTCCCTCTTCTTTTTCCCCCACCCTACAACACCCTCTTCTGGGTTTCTCCCTACAACTCTGTGAGAGTGCTCCTAGAATTCTCATGAATGGTTAGGGAATTTTCTTCTCTCCTGGACAAAGACATGTTAACACCATTCATCAATCAGCAATCTGTCTGTACACATGTACACCTCTAAATGACTCTTAACTAGTTGATTCCCATGCCTCTTGCTTTCCAGGTAATCTGCCATTTTTCTTTTTCCTCCACAAGTATTCTTAATGTGAATTCTATGAACACATAGAATTCAGATGATCTTTGAGTCTCTTGAGATTACAATTAAAATTTTGGATGTACTTCTGAATGTGAACTTTTCTGAAAATAGAGTTTATGAATTTCATTGCATTTTCAGTGGGGCTGGTGATATAAAATGATTAAGAGCCATTAATTTATGACATTTATTTTATTCATTGGCTTCCTGCCATTTCCTTTCTAGTATGACAATAGGGCCACTACCACAATCACTAATGGAATTTGTACAGCACTTTATAAGTTATGATATTCTTTAAAATACTCTTTTGTGTTCATAAACCCATTTGATGTTCATGACTTTCCTGAGAAAGGTCAGGTCTTTTTTTTTTTTGAGACGGAATCTTACTCTGTCCCCCAGGCTGGAGTGCAGTGGTGTGATCTCAGCTCACTACAACCTCCACCTCCTGGGTCCAAGTGATTTTCCCGCCTCATCCTCCTGAGTAGCTGGGATTACAGGCACCCGCCATCATGCCTGGCTAATTTTTGTATCTTTGTAGAGATGGGGTTTCATCATGTTGGCCAGGCTGGTCTTGAACTCCTGACCTCAGGTGATCCACCTGCCTCGGCCTCCCAAATTGCTGGAATTACAGGCGTGAGCCACCATGCCCGTCCCAGGTCTTGTTATATCCACTTACAGATAAGGAAAATCAGACTTAGAGATTAAGAACCATCTAGGTAAGTATATGGCAGAGCTGGGACCAGAACTCAAGTATCTTAACTCTTGGTCTGTAAGCAAAGAGCTCTTTGCATGGCCAAGGTGTTTAATAACTATTTAGGACTTTTCCGTCTTCAGGCTGCATTTATTTTTCCTCTTTAGTACTATCTTTGATCCTGGAGACTAAGGTACGTGTACAATTTGTCCAGATTTTCCCTATTTTCAAATGAGGTACTGTGACACAATGTGATTTTTTTTCCCTAGGGCCTTGAATCTCCTTCAGTATATTTAGAAGCAAAATGATTCACAGATTTAAAACACAGACAGGAAGTCAGTAACTCAAAGAACTAAATGTGTCTCTGGTTTAGATTTGCTGAGTGACCTTAAACAAAACACTTAACCTTTCTTTCTCAATTAATCTGTGAAATGGAGTTAAACCATTTTCTCATACCACTAAAACAACAGTTAATAACTCATTGAACACTTAGAAATTTACACATGCCACATACATAAACATGTTTCTGATGTTATTTTGAGTAGGTAAGTGTTTCCTATGTGAAATCATTAAAAAACTTCACAAGATTGAATGTGTAATTCATTTTCTGATTAGACTGTTTATTTTAAAAATCAATTTTTTTCTGCATTTTTGGTTGATTATTTTTCCCACTAAATTTACTGTCTCATCAAAGCAGCGTTTGTTCATTTGTAGAATCATTTAGCGTGTATTGGACTATGGGGACCTGAGATGGAACTTTTCCCATTTAAGAAAATAGCCACTCTGTGTTTAGGTTCCTGTAGGGGACACTTTAGGAGAGTGATGTTGTTATATCATGCCTACAAATACCTCATCTGGGTCTGTAGTCTCTGATATATCTGCTCATTCAAGATAGTGGCACTTAGCAATTCAACCAGATGTAAGTTGGCTAATAAACAAAGCCAGTATTCTCTAGGGGCTTGAACAACACTTCCTGTGTTTGACTCTGGTTGCCCTGAAGTTGTTTTAAGTCCAGCACTGCTGGTGACGTTTCCCCTTGTGCACTGAACAGCTCATGCCGTGTCAAAGGGCGTTGACCTTTTCACTCTTAGAACAAAAAGACTGGAAACAAATTATGCTCTGAGAATTGGTCAAAGGATAACAACAACAACAAAAAAGTGCCTGACCCCCAAAACAAGTGATGAACACAAATTCTAAGCTTTAGAGTATTATCATTAAGAGTATTGTCTCTTTAACCAACTTTTCTTTAAAGTGTAATATGAGCATTTGCTTCAATTTACTCTGAAACCACCCACCCCCCAACCCCCCTTGGCTCCTTTTGCAGAACACAATGAACCAACTACTGTTGTCCCTACTCCCCCTATCCAGCTGAATCTGTTCCAGTTTACGAGCTGTCCACCATGGAGCTAAGTCTTCCAAACAGAATGACTCATCTGCAAGTTTTGCTCGTGGCTTCTGAGAGTATATTTAGTGTGAAGAACTGGAGGATGCAGCATATCCAAACACATGCTAGGCTACAGAATTTGAGTGGGAAAAAGAGGACAGGGCTAAAATAGAACTGTAATAAGCCAAAGAATTAGAGGCCTGGCTTAGCTTTTTCTGCTATGTAGCTTCAGCAACACCTACAGTTCCCCGCCAAGAATGGCACACCATATTAATGTAACGAAAATGAGGCTTCCCTGGTGGTTTCTTTTGGAAGGAAGAAAAACATACTTATGTAAAAAATAATCAAAAATAAAAATAAACCAGTGCTTCACTATTGTTCCAAGTTAATGGGAAAATAATTTATCCTTATATTAGTGAAATTAGGCAACACTTGCCCAGGAGCTACTTGTGCAGATAACTGGTGAGCTGAACAAACTTCTTAGGAAATTGTTTAGGTTGGTTCTTCATTATTAAACTCAAGCTGAATTTGACATAATTACAGGAACCACTCTCCTCTTCTTTCTCTCAGTCGTACTCTTGAACAAAAAGTTTTTGTGTTAATCGATTTGCCTTTTGATTTTATTGTTTAAATGTTCCATCAAAGACAATTATGGAAACCTAGGTATGATCTCACGTTTATATTGCTCAACAGTTCATCAGTGTTCTGACACTAAGTCAGCATTTGAAAGCAGTGATCACAAAAGCTAACAATCAGGGGTTCATGTCCCAGCACACGCCACGGAGCGACCAAAGTAGCTTTCTTTGGCTTGAACTAACACTCCCCTCACAGACTTCAACCCAACTCTCCTCTTTTTTCCTTCCTTTATGGCTCTGTGCTTACTTGTCTTTCTTCCTTTCTGTAGCTGTCGCTGTATTTCTCCTATTTACTTGTCTTTTTTCCCTTTTTTCTTCTATCTTTTCATTTTGTTGCTTCTCTCTTCTGTTCCTCCCTTCATCTGTTTTTCTTAGCTGACTATGACAGTGAACTAAATATTATATTTAAATAACTGTTGTAAATCTCTGCAGAAAGGTTCAATTTTTTTCTCTTTAATAATCTATTATCAATAGTCAAAGTTTTGTATTTCTCTCATAAAAAATACATCATTTTTTTAATGAAGCCTTGATTTCCTTTTTGTTTCCCAGTAGCTCTTGATAGAAAAAGCAAAAAATTTCCTTAATCCTAAATCCAAAATGGATTTTCAGAGTAGAGCAGTTCAAGTTGCCCCCTCTCCCCCGCAAAACAGGGAAGACTTGTTTCTAGCCAGTTGCTTTCAAAATGATTTTCTTTTATTACCCCCAAACTCACTTATGCATAGCGATAGTCTTTGATTTACTTTAGGGAGAAAGCTAGTAGACACTAGTAAATTTAGTTGCAATTTCAGTCATACTTTTTAAATAACATATTTTATAAATATTATTTCAATTTTATATCTTTTTTATTTGTCACATTTCTAACTGTATTCAAGTGAAATCTTTACTGTAGTCTAGAAGTATATTGCAACAAATCTGTCTGATAATCAAATAAACATAAAAGAGAAGTCAAATAACCTCCTTTTTTTGACCAATCAACTAAAAAAGATGAAAAAAAATTGTAACCCCCAATGCTTGCAATGGTTCTATGAAATTCAGAGTTCAGCTTATACATTGCTGGCAGGAGTGCAACTGGTTCTCTCTCTCTCTCTCTTTCATATATATATATATATACACATAATTGCAGGAACCACTTTTCAATTTTCAGTTACATACATATACACATATATAAAATACATATTATATATACACACATAAATACACAAAATACATATGCTGTATGAATACATATACATTTCTTTGTAAAAACACATGTAAGTATGTATTTTGAGCTAATAATTCCATTTTTAGAAACTTAAAGCAACAATTTTAAATTTGAGGGTAGGCATTATGATGCTTTTCAGAGATTTATTTATAGTTTTTTTTAAAGAGGCAAGCAAATGCTTAATTGTAGGAGAATTACTAAGTAAACTTTCAGTGTTTACTAATTGTACTCAACAGCATTTAATTCAGACATTAAAATAATGGTTTTGAAAAAGATGTAGTAACATGGGGATATGCTTTTGATGTGATGTCACAATTGTGTAATAAAGAAACATCGATGTACAGGAAAAAAAAACCTTGAAGGAAAACACAAAACCGTCCAAAATATTTGTATGAATATTAAAATTGTTTTTTAAAAAAGGTTTTTGTATAGTCAAATTTTTACAAATGCACATGCATAACTTTTAAAAACTCATATGAAGATCTATACCAGTCACCATCCTCAGCTCCTCCAGTAAAACTTAATTGTCGTTATTTTTCAGAATGTTACGCTCTTAAAAATTTGGAGAAACATTGTACCAAAATTCTGCACACTTTAAAAATGTTGAAAGGTTATATATTTCTAAATTGCTTTGAACCCTAAGGGAAAAATTGTATTTGAACATGTCACATCCCTTGATGACCATTATTTGCATTGTAAAATGTTGCTCCCCGGTTCTAGCAAGTAACAAAACAGTGTCTTCCAGATGTATTAAAAAAATTTTAAATCCAATTATTGTAGTCTCATTCATACAAAAAATAAAGGAAATATAGGGAGATATTTTATGGAGTTTGATACCAGCATAAGGAAAGGAAAAAAATGAAATAAAAACCGTTCTTATTGTTATTACAAAACAATTTTATTTCTAGAAATTTTACTTTACTTTTCTCCTAATATTTAATATCTGAGGCTTACACATAACACAGACAAAATACATACCTGTACAATTGTGATTATGAGTGTTGTGTTAACAACTACTGCTATTCTATCAAAACTGTGAACAGAGAATGGGTATTAATTAATGGGAGACATTAACAGGCGGGAAAAGTTGAGGGAGTATTCAATAAGCTGTCAAAACAGGAGCTAAATTCTATAGAACGGGTGTTCACATATCTGACAAAAATCGATCCTGAAACTTTGCTTTTCCATTTTTGCTTAGAAAACAACACTACCCAGACTCTCACCTACTCATCTTTCAATTGTTCAGAATAATGGTGTTTATGGCATGAAAATCAAATTCTTTTTAGTACTTTAGAGATCAACAAAGCCACTGTGAATTGTGACACAAAAGGGATACACAGGTGTGTATTTAGAGCTGTACTTGAAACTGTCTTATTTTACCCTGTAGGATTAAAGATCTCAGAAAGATAGAGCGTGGTTTGGGAAATAAATTGTGTCAAATATTATAGTTAAATATAGGCCATAGAAATCTCCAGAAAATAAGTCAGCTTTTAGACTGTAATTTCAAATATGTAAATTCTATTTTAATGTGTTTATTTTAAATTCCTGTGGGAAAAACAGATTGCATAGTGACATGTAAACCCTAAATAAAATCTCTGAGGTCAGTAACTTAGTCTTAAATATTTTTCAGTGAACATTGTGAGGGATTACTTTGAAGAAAAGCAAAAAATCTGATAGACAAACACACTGATTTTCTAAACTCCTTACCTCACAATGGAAATACCACCAAAGGTGAAGCCCATATTTCTACAAATTGAGCATATAACACAGCGCTATTGTTATTGCTGGCAAGAGCCCGTAAAGTTCTAGGATTTGATAGGCACTTAAAGGCACATGCTTCACAAATATTCTTCCACATTCCCTTGACTCCTTACCTGAAGTTCTAACATTAGTTACTTCTTTCTGTTGAGAAGCACTGGCAATCCTTCGTGAAATACTTGTCAAAATACTAGAACAACAGGCTATAATAGTAAATTACAAAAGAGGAAATACAAATGAACAGTAAACATATGAAAAGATGCTTTGTCTCACTAATAATTGTCACTCACACATTTTTTTCCATTTTTTTATTGCGGTAAAATACATATAACATAAAATTTATGATGTTATGTTAACCATTTGTAAGTATATAATTCAATGGTATTAAATACATTTGTAATGTTGTGCAAACATCACCATCATCTCTCTTCATAATTCTTTTTCATCTTGTAAAATGAAACTCAATACCCATTAACAACTTCTATTCCCTCCTTCCTCTAGTCCCTGCTATTCTACTTTCTATCTCTATGATTTTAACTACTCTAAGTGCCTCATAGTAGAATCATACAGTGTTTGTCTGCTTGTAACTGGCTTATTTCACTTGGTGTAATGTCCTTAAGGTTCACTTATGTTGTAGCATAGGTCAGAACTTCCTTCCTTTTTAAGGCTGAATAATATTCCTTCCCATGTATGTACCACATTTTGTTTATCTATTCATCCATTGATGCATATTTGGGTAGCTTCCACGTTTTAGCCATTGTGAATAAAGCTGCTATACACATGGGTGCACAAATATCTCTTCAACATTTTGTTTTCAATTCTTTTAGGTATATACCCAGAAGTGGAATTGCTGAATCATGTGATAATTCCATTTTTTTTATTTTTTAAGGAACCACCATACTGTCTTCCACAATGGCTATTCCATTTTACAATCCCATGAATAGTGGCCCAAGGGTTCCATAGTAACATATTTTTAGCCAAAACATCATTGTGACAATATTTCCAATAATGAAAAATTGAATACAGTAATTTATTCATAACATATTGAAGTATGTTATGTTCATATTATGAACTACTCTGCTGCTACTGGAATGAGACTTAGGTTATATTTATTGACATGGAAAAGTATCCGTACCATATATAATTGAGTTAATAAAATCAGATTACATAAGAGTTTATGTAAAATTATGCCGTTTCTGTAGAATTGTATACTCATGTTTATAAATGCATATTAATGTATATGTGACTAGTTATCTATGGATAACTGGTAATTTGTTACTTTCTTTTTTGTGTTTTCTATATTGTTCAATTTTTTAAAATGTCTCTAGATCATTTTACCCAAAAAGCTATAAAAATAATGTATACCATTCATTATTATCTTAACATGTTTTTTAATCTCTTAGCTGTTAATTCTCCTAGATGGACCTAGTTAAAGGTCAGCTGATCATTTTAGTATTCACTGATGGCCTACGATGTGTCATTACACTAGTAGGTCCTTAGATAAAAGAAGGAGTAGGACATAGTCTGTGCCCACTTTCCAGGTGCCGTGGTTTAGTGGATCACATATACTTACAAACAAATCATTATAAATCCATTGGATGAATAAAACAATAAAAATAAAAAGAACAAAAAGGACATTGGAGAGATAACAATAACCTACAACTGTAAGGTAGAAATTGGAGGTCAAGAAAAATTTAAACAGAGGAACAGAGGATGTAATGCCTGGGCAAGGTTTTTTGTTTTTGTTTTTGTTTTGTTTGTTTTTATTTTAGTGACAAGGTCTCACACTGTTGGCCAGGCTAGAGTGCAGTGGTGACCACACCTAACTAATTTTTATTTTATTTCACTTGTTGTAGAGTCAGGGTCTCACTATGTTGCCCAAGCATGTTTCAGACTCCTGGGTTCATGTAATCCTCCTGCCTCAGCTTCCCAAAGTGTTGGGATTATAGATGTAAGCCATCACATATGGCAGGGATTAAAAAGAAAGAGTAAAAGTTGACAAGAAGATGGGGAAGCAGTTAGGATTTGAGGGAGAGGGAGGAGAAGAGAGAAAAGGACATGGGAGAGCATTAGGTCTTGGCAAAGCCTCAGATGCAACAACCTATGAGGGCTCAATGTAGTTGAAAATTAGGCTGGACAGTCAGGCTGAAGAGAGACACAAAATGGTTCCCAAAACTCGACTTTGGTTTGAATCCCCTTTGTGGAGTTGATCTAATTACTGAACACAGTTATAATTTTAATCAATCACGCCACAGTTTTATAATTTAGACATTAGGGCAATGTCCACACTGTTTCGTTCTTTATAAACAGAAAGCTGATACCTGAATTCACCTTTGTAGCTGGCTTCACCATTGGCTCTGCTTCTGGTAGATTTTGATTGATAAACTTAAGCAAGTAACATATACAGTAACTAAGATCACAATGTTGTTCTTGTAGACATACACTTAGCTGTGCAAGTCTAGTGGCTTTGCATGCTGGCAAACTGTCATTTCATTAGAAAGTTACCAGCCAAGTTGGGCAGAGGAAACTGCAGCCTAAAAGCTGTCAATTTCTACATCAGTGGTTGCTAAGACAAGCATTGCTGTTTGTACCACAATTCTTCATTATTAAATAACAGATCCATGTTCTTTTTTTCATGAAATGTTATTGTAATACGTATCAAAGTAAGGAGCTGTTTAGAACTTCCATTAAAGTAGGAATTCAAAGTCTAGCCTACAGTGAAGATTCTTGAAAATTGCAAGTGGAAAGAAAATTAGCCTGATGTGCAACTAACTGCAGAAACTAATCAGCAGTAAAAATATTTTAGACACAATTTCTCTTGCACATAGGCATGATTTAGCAGCTTTCTTCTCTAGCACTATCAACTTTTTGAATTGATAATTATTTCATTGGCCATGTTTCTTGGGTTGTGCTCTTGAGAGACATTGCTAATTGTAGCACCCAAAAGAGTGGTCTTGAAACTTAGAAAAAGTTCCACTAGACCTATTTGAAATAATTTTCATTTGTGGTCTATTCAGAGGATTTAACAAACCACTGTCTTACATTAGGAGAATCCTGGGAGGAACAACTGCTAGAATTAATTGTAAAACACTTGGCAATATAAAGTGCTATGTAAATGTTACTTAATAATAATAATAATATTCTGAAGTCTCTAGAAGTGAGAGGCTATTGCCTTAGAAATATGAGACAACACACAAACAATGCAGAAATTAGAATTATTTAAGGTAAACTGTGTGTCTTAGTATTTGAGGTAATTGTCATATGTATCAGGAAATATAAGAAATTTACTTTTCATTGTTAAATATAAAAATGAAGGATACATAATCAGAGCACCATGATAATTAGTAGATTTTTCAACTCTTTGAGTGATTGAAAATTAAGATAGAAAATAAATTAGGTCATTTTATTTAGTAATTTAGGGAGAGGTCAAGATTGGGAGTGAAGGGTCTAGATTTTGGCAGTAATTGTTTTGACAGTATAGCGTCGAGGTCAAACTCAGCTTCAGAGCCAGGTATCCAAAGTTCACGTCAGTCTTCTGATTTATTAGATGTGTGACCTTGGGTAAGTCGCATGACCTCTCTGAGCTGTACCTATTTAATTTTTAATTGTTGTGGGTATATAGTAGGTGTATAGATTTATGGAGTACATGAGATGTTTTGATACAGGCATGCAATACGAAATAAGCACATCATGGAGAATGGGGCATTCCTCCCCTCAAACATTTATCTTTGTGTTACAAATAATCCAATTACACTCTTTCAGTTATTTAAAAATGTATAATTAAGTTATTATTGAGCTGTATCTATTCAATGGAGGTGAGAGTAACTTCTACTTCATACACTTACAATAATGAAAAATAATGCACTGGCACAGAGTAAGTATTCTGGATACATTAATTACTTTGATTCTGATGTACAAGAATAAGAATATTGGGCAAAATTAAAAATCAAAATCTAAATTTTCTCCCTGTAGACAGGAGAATAAAAAGGAGTTCAGTGCCCAAAGATATTTGATAAATTGGTAAATTTACCAATTGGTAAATAGTGCTAGAGAAGAAAGCTACTAAATTATGCCTATGTGCAAGAGAAATTGTGTAAATTTACCAATTTGGTAAATTGGTAAATACTTCAAGCTAAAGCCCCCCACCCAACTTTTTTTTAGAGTTTCACCATCTCCATCAGCAACATAAGGAAGGTTCTGAGTTTTTCAATAAAGAAACTTGTATTTTTGTTTACCCTAACATTTTAAACTTTGTTTAAATTTGAACTATTTATATTTTCAGAACACCTATTGACATCCCTTAGAACAGTTTGAGATGCCTCATTAGACATTTCCCATGGTCTCATTCTGGTCTCTGAACAGATCTTTTTTAAAATTAAACTTTTTATTTGGAAATAATTTCAAAGTTAAAGAAAAAATGCAAGAATAAAAATAGTTCAAAGAACATACAAAGCTTTTGCCCAGAATCACCTATGTGAACATTTTGCCCCATTTGTTTTATACTTTGCTCTATCTATTCTCTCTCTCTCTTTCTCTCTCTCTCTCTCTCTCTCTCTGTTGTTTTCTGAACCATTGCAGGGTAAATTATATACTACATGGCTTTTCACTGTATTCCTAATAACTTCAGTGTGTATTTGCTAATAGGGATAGTCTCTCACATATCCACAGTGCAACGGTCAACTTCAGTAAATTTAACATTGATACAATATTTTAAATTATTGTCCATTTTCCAGTTTTCAAAATTGATCCCATAATGCCCTTTATAGCATGGTTTTCTTCCCCAGTACAGAATCCAGGGCAGATAATGCACTTAATTGCCATGTCTTTTTAGACTCTTGATTTATCACATTTCCATAGCCTTTCTTTACCTTAAATGGCATTGATATTTCTCCCCGTTTTAAAAATATAACATTTCTCAATTTGGATTTGTCTGGTTATTTTAAAATGAAACTTCAGATTCAGTTTATTTATTCTTGGCCAAAACACTACATAGGTGATGTTTTGACCTTCTCAGGGTATTACACCTAGAGATGCATGATGTCCATCTGTTCATCATTGCTGATATTAAGTTGGTGCAAAATTAATTGTGTTTTTTGCCATTACTTTCAATGTAATAGTATTTTTCATCATGTGATCAAAGTGTTTAATTTCTCCATAGTATAATTGCTATTTTTTTCTTCATTATTAATAAGCAGCCGGTAAGGACACCATTTAAGTTCATGAAAATATTCTACTTCTTGCAAAATTTCTCTATAGATTCAGCATTTATTGATAATTTTTGTCTGACCTAGTCTTAATTATGATGGCTGCAAAATGCTGATTTTCCAACCTCAGCACTCTTTTCACATTTATCAGTTGGTAATTGACAATCAACTGTAACAAAAAGCCCTTTCTTCTTAATAATTAATTAATGGTATGGCCTTATGAATTCCTATTTTTTCTATATTTTAAGATTAATTATTGTTCTTAATTATTTTGGTAAACAAATTGTCCCAGATTTGGTCAGTGGGAGCTGCTTCAAGTAGGCTTCTCTGTTCTTGTTACATACCCCCATCATTTTATTTTTGGCACTTTCTGGCATAACAAAATATTCCAGGCTCATCTTCTATGTTCTGCCCCTGCCCTGGAATAAGCTACTTCTCTAGGAGTTCTGAGACTGAGAGAGACTAGGTGTATTCATTGCTTTTTGAGTGTCACTGACTCTTGGTCCTATGAAAAGATCTTTTAATTATCCAAACAATATGACATTTTATATATCTCTCTATATATTTTTTTGTCAACTCAAAGATAAAAATTGGGCAACAGTGTGACAAAAATTTAGTGGTCATTTGGTCTGACTCTTAGCTGATGCAAGAATCTGCTCCAAAAATATAATGAATCGCTAACATGATAGATTTAATATCACCAAATCTTGCATAATTTTCATTGTATGTTACTTTTTATGATAAACATATAAAATTTTTCTAGGAATTTCTTTTTGACCTAAATACTCTCTATTTTTCTCACCTCCCTTAGGCTATTAAGAGTCTTTAGGTTAGTATGAAATCTCCCTATATTTTTTAGGACTTTGCATGTAACATAAATTAATTTTATATAGGCTAACAATAACAAAACATGGAATGTATTATAGAGATACAGGAATGTCTTGTGAAACAGAGTTTTACCCATGGATATGAAAAGTTGTGATACAAGTAACTGAACCCTCTATTTTTGGCTTCTTAATGAATCTCTGCTTTATGCTTCTCTGACAGTTACTTTTTAATTTCAAAAATCTTATTGAAGGTATAAAACACAAATGTTATAAGATACATATATATTTTTAAATGGTTATCATAGCAGAACAAATTAACATACCCATCATCACACTTAGTTCCCCATTTTTTCTTCACAGACACATCTCTTACAATCTATGGATTTATAGGTTATGTTTTGTGCCACATGTAGAAATATTCTAACTGACAGTTTCTAAGTCTTAATTCCATAATTAGGGCAACAGGATCTGATTGATTGAACTTAGGTCACATGTCTACCCCTGGCCTAGTCAAGCATGGTCACAGAATATAAACATGGGCTGACATAGGATCTATTTCTGAGATTGTAGAAAGACATTTTGAGACAAATCAGGCAACCTTGTGAATTGGGAAGAATGTAAAAAAGGGGTGTACTATATTCACTCACGCGTCACATTCAACATGGAATCTTCCTAAAAACATAAACCAAAAAAAGCATGCCAGGGTGAGAATTTTCACTGTAAAGGGAAGACATAAGTATTACCAATATATGGAGAGTTGCTCCACCTTAACAAGGGTAAAAGAGTGGAAAAGTGTCATGGATTATGTAAATAAGTATATAAACAAGTTATTACAATCCCTTTCAGAATATGTAGGTGTCTAACTGAGACTCTGTACCCTTCAACTATCCTCTCCCCACCCCTTCCCCAACCCCAGCTTCTGGTACATACCATTCTACTCTTTGTTTCTAGTTCAGTTCTTCTAGATTCTACACATAAGTAAGAACATGTGGTATGTATCTTTCTGTTCAGCTTAATTTAAAAAATAAGACAAGAAAATATTTGTGGATTAACAATGCAGGGGTGCAGTTAGAGTGCCAGTGAAGGTTGCATTGTTTTTTCTTCACTTACTAGTGGCGAGACAAGTACCAAATGTATTATTATTATAACCATCAGGAATACCTGACATATGAGCATCACTAACATTTTACTTACTAATGAATATTTTAGGGTCCCTTACGGGGGTCAATATCAGAGGTTCCAGCAGTAAGAATATTCATGTGGGATTAACCTTGCACACAGTGGAGATAGTCCCAGGACGCATGGTCACCACTCACTCTACTAGATAATTAGGTAGTTGCAGAAGGTAATAAAATTATTAATTCTTTTATACATTGCATAAATTGTACAGAACACTTTCATGCATTTTATTTTATAGAATTTTCATTCAAAAAAATCTGTGAAATTTGAGAGCATTGGCCTTAACAAGTGCATTTTACAGATATGATTCAAATGTGGGTTCCTTAACTCCACTCCCCTTTGTTCAATCTCACAATGAAGAGCAACAAGTTGCCTTGGCATAGTGACTGACACCTGTAATCCCAGCGCTTTGGGAGGCTGAGACAGGAGAATTGCTTGAGGCCAGGCACTCGAGACCAGCCTGGACAACACAGAAAGACCTTGTTTCTCCAGGAAAAAAAAAAGCAACAAGTAGGAGGGTAAATCCTGCCCTCATGTTTGGTTGAATTAGGCCTAGCACTGAGGTAGGCTGCCAGCTGACAATTATGCAGCAAGTGAATGAACAAACAAAGGCATGCCAAATTTTTATTCTTGTTATTTGAGTGAAAAAAAGGAACAAAACTTCCAAACACCCTCACTGCATAAAGACTTGGCCATGCATCTACAGATCAAAAAATATGTTGTTAGCCTCATAAGATCACATCTTGGTTGTAGTTGTTTTTTCTATCCAAAATGGATATTTAATTTTGGGTTGAATCTGCTTTAAAATTTAGAATATGTTCAACTACAAAAAATCAAAATAGAATTTAGTTCTAGAAATCAGAAAAATGCGGAAAGAGTTTGAGGGGATTACTGACAGAACTCTGCCTGACAGAGAGCAAGGTCATAAAGATGCCTCAGGAATGGTGCTGCTTGCTGAATTTGTCCTCTGGCTGTGTCACTGGCTTTGCCCTCTTGTTCAAATGTTTGGTTTCCCAGGTGGGCAAAGACATCTTCTCTTCTTTGGATGCCCTTGGCATTCTCTCTGTTTTATACAGGTTGTGTCTGTAACAGGCACTTAGCAACATGTTTTCCACCCCATGTTTTTAAACCACCACTGTGTGCTTCCCAGACTAATTTTGGGTTTTATCTTGGAAGCCTACCAGTACTGTTTGCTATATTTTAAATGCTGGTGTGGCTGGATGACAATCCCCAGAAAGATGTGCACTACATTTCAAGCTTTTATGCCACAGCTTTGACATGTTGTTGGTTGTCAGACATAGACTGGCGTGACATCCAACACAAAGTCCTTCAACATTTCAAGCAAAAGAACGCAGAAAGTGGTACCTGGGGAATTGTACTTTATCATTAAAATCCCTGCATCAATTTTCTTCATTTCAAAAGGCAGGTGGGAGGAAAGACAGCTGCAATCCTACAGAAACACAGACATTTAACAATCCAAAGAAAAGTTATTCTAACTGCCAAGACATCTAAACCACAATGTTCTAAATTGGCCAGATTCCTCAAAAATATTAAAATAAAGAGGTCATATCTCAACCAAATGCAACTCTCTTATTGATAGTTTAAGTGTTGAGTTGCTTCGTTGCATCCACATTTTCTGATGTTAAGTGAAGCAAGAGTCCTCTAGTAGTTTGGCAGCGGGTGGGGAGGAAAGTCTCTTTCAATATAATGGCCATATGTTAGTTAACGTGTTGTCAGTCTTTAATGACTAGTGGTGTAACAGCTGGTTTTGATGTAATTTCTTTTGAGACCACTAGATTACAAGCAGTTTATTGCATTCTTCCTCTCTGACTGCTCCCTGGATACAACCTAAAGTCAAAAGGTTAAAGGTCTAAAGCCATAATCTAAAGGATTTGTCATCATTTAACAGGTCACTTGTTGCTATGTACTGTGCAAACTGAAAATTTTTTAGTGAGGCTGTCAGAATGGCTTAGCCTTATTATTATTATTATTATTATTATTATTATTATTATTATTTTCTTATTTCAACAGGAAGGAATTGAGAATATCCAGCAGGAGACAAGTTCTCAGAAATCTAAGACCATGCTTTGTGTATATCTGTGAAAATCTTCACAGGGTGAAGAAAAAGGGTGAAAGAATATGTTAAAAATTAATTTAACTTTCACTAAAAGGATGTGCAATTGAGAATTTAACTTCCACAGAAACACATTAAGATGACTTCAGATCTTTGAAGGAGCTGTAGGTAACATGTCCAAAACTAAAAGTGAGAAAGACAAAGGAATGGGGTCAGACAACTCGGGAAGGTGCTAAAGGTCATGGAGCCCTATTGTTGGTTCATTGCAGATTTGTAGCTTTTCAGTCTGTCAGTGTCTGACAGTCCAGCTATGCTGTACCAGCCAAGGACCTCCTTTGTTTAGGGAAGGAGCCATTCTTTTAAGACTGGGCTTGGTAACACAGGAAAACAGAAAATCCAGAAGGGAATGCATGAAAAAGAAAGCTTTTTCCTTCCAGACATCAATGGTGAATTTGAAAGAGTTTTATAGTGTGTGTGCCTAAGTAGAATTGTGAAGGCAATAGAGCTAATTTTCGCAGTGTCTGATTTTATGCTAGTTTAGAATGTCTCTCTTTTTAACATTTTTAAAAGTCACCCTTTTATAGTCTCACAAAAATGCTGTAATAAAGTTTTGGAAATGTTCCTAGACAGTTTGGAGTCTTTTGAACTCATGGTTCATCCATAGCATCACCATTCTGGACTTTGCCTCAAGATGGTGACACATTGTTCAGCCAAAACTCATTTTCTGTGTATCTGTTGCCCTCTAGGGACTCCAATATGAAAAGAAACATATGATATGGCTATTTGCCAGGAATCATCAGGCAATTGACTTTTCTTCCCATCACTCATTCAGAGTTAATCTTGGTTTTCATTCTTGTAAACTTGTATTTAGCACTTGTGTGTCCTGAACAAAATTAATTTTTCAAAAACCAACCTGAATTATCCTCTCAAATCCTAGATAGATGGCAAACATTACAGTGGGTCATCTTGATTATTTTCTATTTGGTACTTTTAAGTTTGAAAGAAATAGAAAAATATTAGAACTTGTGAATCACTCTATCTACTTTAAAACTTTGGAATCATCAGGCAAGAAATAACTAAGATCAGAGCAGAACCAAAGGAGACAGAGACACAAAAAACGCTTCAAAAAATCAATGAATCCAGGAGCTGGTTTTTTGAAAAGATCAACAAAATTGATAGATCGCTAACAAGACTAATAAAGAATAAGAGAGAGAAGAATCAAATCGACACAATAAAAAATGATAAAGGGGATATCACCACCAATCCCACAGAAATATAAACTATTGTCAGAGAATACTATGAATTCCTCTACACAAATCAAACCTAGAAGAAATGGATAAATTCCTGGACACATACACCCTCCCAAGACTAAACCAGGAAGAAGTTGAATCCCTGAATAGACCAATAACAGGCTCTGAAATTGAGACAATAATTAATAGCCTACCAACCAAAAAAAGTCCAGGACCAGATAGATTCACAGCCGAATTCTACCAGAGGTACAAGGAGGAGCTGGTACCATTCCTTCTGAAACTATTCCAATCAACAGAAAAAGAGGGAATCCTCCCTAATTCATTTTATGAGGCCAGCATCATCCTGATACCAAAGCCTCGCAGAGACACACAAAAAAAGAGAATTTTAGACCAATATCCCTGATGAACATCGATGTGAAAATCCTCAGTAAAATACTGGCAAACCGAATCCAGCAGCACATCAAAAAGCTTATCCACCACTATCAAGTTGGCTTCATCCCTGGGATGCAAGACTGGTTCAACATACGCAAATCAATAAAGGTAATCCAGCATATAAGCAGAGAACCAAAGACAAAAACTACATGATTATCTCAATAGATGCAGAAAAGGCCTTCGACAATATTCAACAGCCCTTCATGCTAAAAACTCTCAATAAACTAGGTGTTGATGGGACATATCTCAAAATAATAAGAGCTATTTATGAAAAACCCACAGCCAATATCATATTGAATGGGCAAAAATGGGAAGAATTGCTTTTGAAAACTGGCACAAGAGAGGGATGCCCTCGCTCACCACTCCTATTCAACATAGTGTTGGAAGTTCTGGCTAGGGCAATCAGGAAAGAGAAAGAAATAAAGGTATTCAATTAGGAAAAGAGGAAGTCAAATTGTCCGTGTTTGCAGACGACATGATTGTGTATTTAGAAAACCCCATTGTCTAAGCCCAAAATCTCCTTAAGCTGATAAGCAACTTCAGCAAAGTCTCAGGATACAAAATCAGTGTGCAAAAATCACAAGCATTCCTATACACCATTAACAGACAAACAGAGAGCAAAATCATGAGTGAATTCCCATTCACAATTGCTTCAAAGAGAATAATAAAATACCTAGGAATCCAACTTACAAGGGATGTGAAGGACCTCTTCAAGGAGAACTACTAACCACTGCTCAATGAAATAAAAGAGGACACAAACAAATGGAAGAACATTCCATGCTCATGGATAGCAAGAATCAATATTGTGAAAATGGCCATAATGCGCAAGGTAATTTATAGATTCAATGCTATCCCCATCAAGCTACCAATGACTTTCTTCACAGAATTGAAAAACACTTTAAAGTTCATATGGAACCAAAAAAGAGCCCGCATTGCCAAGACAATCCTAAGCAAAAAGAACAAAGCTGGAGGCATCACACTACCTGACTTCAAACTATACTACAGGGCTGCAGTAACCAAAACAGCATGGTACTGGTACCAAAACAGATATATAGACCAACGGAACAGAATAGAGCCCCTGGAAATAATACTACACATCTACAACCATCTGATATTTGACGAACCTGACAAAAACAAGCAATGGGAAAGGATTCCCTATTTAAAAAATAGTGCAGGGAAAACTGGCTAGCCATATGTAGAAAGCTGAAACTGGATCCCTTCCTTACATCTTATACGAAAATTAATTCAAGATGGATTGAAGACTTAAATGTTAGACCTAAAACCATAAAAACCCTAGAAGAAAACTTAGGCAATACCATTCAGGACATAGGCATGGACAAGGACTTCATGAGTATAACACCAAAAGCAATGGCAACAAAAGCCAAAATTGACAAATGGGATCTAATTAAACTAAAGAGCTTCTGCACAGCAAAAGAAACTACCATCAGAGTGAACAGGCAACCTACAGAATGGGAGAAAATTTTTGCAATCTACCCATCTGACAAAGGGCTAATATCCAGAATCCACAAAGAAGTTAAACAAATTTACAAGAAAAAATCAAACAACCCCATCAAAAAGTGGGCAAAAGATATGAACAGACACTTCTCAAAAGAAGACATTTATGCAGCCACCAGACACATGAAAAAATGCTCATCATCACTGGCCATCAGAGAAATGCAAATCAAATCCACAATGAGATACCGTCTCACACCAGTTAGAATGGCAATCATTAAAAAGTCAGGATACAACAGGTGCTGGAGAGGATGTGGAGAAATAGCAACACTTTTACACTGGTGGTGGGACTGTAAACTAGTTAAACCATTGTGGAAGACAGTGTGGAAATTCCTCATGGATCTAGAACTAGAAATACCATTTGACCCAGCCATCCCTTTACTGGGTATATACCCAAAGGATTATAAATCATGCTGCTATAAAGACACATGCATACATATGTTTATTGTGGCACTATTCAGAATAGCAAAGACTTGGAACCAACCCAAATGTCCATCAGTGATAGACTGGATTAAGAAAATGTGGTACATATACACCATGGAATACTATGCAGCCATAAAAAATGATGAGTTCATGTCCTTTGTAGGGACATGCAGGAAGCTGGAAACCATCATTCTGAGCAAACTATTGCAAAGACAGAAAACCAAACACTGCACGTTCTCACTCATAGGTGGGAATTGAACAATGAGAACTCTTGGACACAGGGTGGGGAACATCACACATCAGGGCCTGTCATGGGGTGGGGGAAGGGAGGAGGGATAGCATTAAGAGATAAGCCTAATGTAAATGATGAGTTAACGGGTGCAGCACAACAACATGGCACATGTATACATATATAACAAACCTTCACGTTGTGCCTATGTACCCTGGAACTTAAAGTATAATAATTAAAAAAATCTTCCCATAAAGAAAATTTCAGGTCCAGTCCAGGTGGCTTCACTATTGAATTCTTCCTATTTTTTAACTTGTTATAATTTTAAGCAGGTCTACAGAATCATAGCTCAAGAGATGATTCTACTTAATTTTATAACATCATTACTTTAGTTCCTTATATTTAGGAAAATAGAGCATTAAAGCAAAATTGTATTGTAAATTAAACATTAGTGAACCTAAAAAAAAAAAACTTTGGAATCATCATTTTCCTAGTAGGTAGCAATATGCATCTAATAGTCTTCTATAAAAATAATATGGTAATGCAGGTTATTGCTTGAGAAATAACTATGGTGTGGAAAAAGAATTGACTGATGTGGTAGTAATATGAAAAAGCTTTCTGTTTTCTTAAAAATAGTTTTCTATTTTATTTTAGAATTCAGGTAAACTTGTATAAAAAAAATTTCTTTATTGAAGCCTCACAATTGTGCTAACCCCATAGTTTTTTCACAGGAAAAGGAAAAACCCATATTGACTAGACATGTTTGAGGCTATGTCTTCATTGGCCATAGCAGACTGTGTGGGTGCCTGACCCAAAGACAATGAACAGTAAGCTAGACAGCTACCTATGAGGTCGCCTGGGATGAAAAAGTATTCTGAAAGTAATCTGTTCACTTTTAGGGATATTTGGGAAATTTGGAGAGTATTAGGCCAT
Organism: Homo sapiens; assembly: GCF_000001405.40. Lineage (NCBI taxonomy): Eukaryota > Metazoa > Chordata > Mammalia > Primates > Hominidae > Homo > Homo sapiens. The sequence continues at coordinate 87,881,891 of NC_000005.10, read as the reverse complement.
TGGTAGATGATCATAAGGATCATGAGATTACAACAAAGCCAAAGTGTTATGTGAACTGGAGTTTTAATGAAGGAAAGTTGTGATGTAGAGACAAAATGCAGAGTAAATCTAGATGGTAAAAGAGGAGGAAATAGAAGAGTACAGAACAAGGGAGAACTATGTTATGTTAATGATCAATGGTAATGATCAATGGTAAAATTCCATTGAATCTGGCTGCCATGATCTATAGTGCTGTTGCAAATCTGGAATGACCTTCTTCAAGTCCAGGCTCCATGAGCGCAGATTGTATCTCACTTTTTCGCTAGTTCCATTCCTTTCACTACTTGCAGTAACTTGATAGCACCTAAAAGAGCCAGACTGATTCCATATTACAAAGCCCCTATTATGAAGGTATCAAAGAATTCTGAAGTAAGGGAAGTTTTCTCTAGTATGTTTCTCATGTGAAAATTTTTTGGGTGATTAGAATAAAATTCTCTTTTGTCAGTGTGTGTGAGCCTAGGCAGAGAATGAGGTGTGACGAGATCTGATATAAAAGTGGATATAACCCTTTGCCATAACCTTTTTTCAAATTTTTATCTTCTGCCTGTCGACAAACATAGGAAGGAAACTCCCTTGTCTCCTCAACACAGGTTATTTAAAATGCTTAAAAGATTGTCTGACATGCCAGAAGTGTTCTCAATGCTTGGAGGTTTAAAATAAAATCATGTTATCTGTGAAATTATTTTTTTAAATACAAAGAACTATGCAAATATAAAGAAATGTTACTGTTTCTGGATTTAGCTCTATCTAGCAGTATGCCACTAAAACTCTTTACTATATCTCTCTGGACTTTAGTTGCTTTAAGTTCACTAATTCTTGGCTTTCTTGACCTCTCAGTTTCTGAAAAATGTTTCTTAATTCTCCTATTGCTATTATAAATTAGTCAATTTCTCTGTGTTATTCCATTTAATTCTGCTGTATATGTTTTGAGGCTATGTTGTTAAGCACATGCAAGTTCAGGATTGTTAAATCTTATGAGTGAATGTGTTTATCATTATATAATAACTCTGTATATACCTACCCTGCTTTTTAACTTAAGGTCTATTTTGTCTAATATGTATATTGTGACACATTCTTCTTGATTAGTATCTTCTTGGGGTATATTACTTTCCAATCTCCTTTTCTCTCCTTTGCTTTCAAACTTTCTGTGCCATCATGGTAGATAGTATAGCATAGTAGACATGAACTCCAGAAAGACTGACTCTGTCACTTCTAGCTGTGTAACTGGGGATAGTTACTCAACATCTGCTATGGTCTGAATTTTCATGTCTCCCCAAATTCATATGTTAAAACCTAATTGCCAATGAGAAAATATTAAGAAGTGGGGTCTTTAGAAGGTGATTAGGTCATGAGGGTGGAGCCTTTATGAATAGGATTAGTGCTCTTGTAAAAAAAGCCCAGGGGAGCTTGTTTGTCCTTCCTGCTATGCAAAGATGCAGCAAGAAGATGCCTTCTATGAACCAGAAGACAATCCTCACTGGATACTGAAGTGAATCTACTGGCACCTTGATCTTGGACTTCCCAACCTCCAGAGTTGTGAGAAATAAATTTCTGTTGTTTATAAGATACCCAGTCTATGATATTTTCTCCTGGCAGCCCTAACAAATATGACAATCTCTCTATGCTTCAGTTTCTCTTCTGTAACATAGGAATTATAATAATACTTACTTCGTAGGTTTATTGTGAGTATTAAATAAGTCAGTATGAGAAAATCACTTAAAGCATTTTCTGTCACATACTAAGTACTAAACAAATGGTAGTTATTTTATTCTTACTATAATGGTAGTAGAGCATAGTTTTTAAATACAGATTCTAGAGGCAGATTGCCTACATTTAAGTTTCTTACCACCACGTTCTAGCTTTGTAATTTTGTGTCTGTCACTTAACCACTCATAAGCTCAGTTTACTTATCTGTAGGATAAGAATAGTAGTAATATCTACCTTAGGAGCTGTTGCAATGGTAAATAAATTATTAAATGAATGAAAATGCTCAGAAGACTGCCAGACATACCAGAAGTGTTATCTATTATTGAGCTTTAGAATTGCTGTACTTGTTTTGTGGTATGTTTCAAATCATTGCATTATTCCAAGGTCTTGTAGTGGTACTTTTCCTGTTTTGGCTCTGCCAACCTTCATAGTGAATCATATACTTTGTGAATTTTAGTTTTTGATTGTAAACTTATCTTCAGCTGTATTTTTTTTAAGGGAGAGTTTCTGTGCCCTAGATTTTGGGAGTATCCAAATTTAGCTATTTCTGTTAGCTTCTTCTAGGCACCCAGAGGTTTTATTGTTCTGCAACTTGTTTGCCCCAATATCTTTCTGCGATGTTCCAAGTGATACAGGTAGCATAATTCTGATTACAAATACATATATGGAGAAGGTTAGAGATATTATTTCTCATGGCACTTTGTTTTTCTTTTTTGCTTACCAAAACCGATAGGTTAGTCTTACAATTCCTCTTTTTCATAGGACAGAGTTGGTCCAGGATACCTGGCTTATGCAATACATTGTTTCAGCACCCACTTTGAATGAGCCCCATGTCACATGTCTTCAACCTGTTTGAATGTTAAGAACAGAGTGTTTGTCAACAGTGATTTATAAACAAATAGCTCCTTGGCCTAACATGGTATCAACTAACACAAAAACAGTTTCTTGTTCATTTCTCAGATCTGAGAATTTCTTTTTTTTCTCTTTTTAACTCAGTTACATTTTAAAATTCTTTTAATATATTTGTATTCAGCAACTGTATCTTTATCATGGGATGAGAAGGTAGTTTTCATTAGCTCAGAATATCATGTAGAAAAAAATGTAAAATGAAAGAGTTTGCCAAAATTAGGATTGGTAAATAGGTTTCATGTTATGTGTTATTCTTGTTCATTTGGTACTGGTCATCTGGAGCATTGGGCTATGTATCATGGGAACCCAAGTTTGGGAATGGGGGAAAGAATGCTGTGGTCAATTAGTGGTATCTGCATGGTAGTTTGGGGTGGAGGGCATTACTATGTATGCCTTGCACTTATTCACTATGGGTCAAATGATTTCTAAGTCTTTTACAGCATTAAGGTTCTATGATATCTTTGTTTGTAAGTGTATATGCATATGGGTAGGAGTGTGGCTGAGGATGAGGTGAACTATTGCAGTCAGGGTTGAACTAGTCCTGATAGTCCTGAGGGATTGACAATCTTTTACTTTAACTGTGAGAACAGGATATAGTGATTTATTGCCACTGCAGTTGCTGATTCTACAGATAAATGTCACAAATGTTGAGATTCAAGAGATTTTTATTTTGTTTTATTCATCTCTAGTTTATAAGAAAGTCACAGCAACTGCTAGTTTGTGTTCTTTGTAGTGCACCTTGTAGTCAGCCACAGTTTTTTAATTATTTTCTCTTAGATTGGAAAGTATGGAGGCTATGTGAGAAGAGCTAATCACTATCCCATGAATCGGTCTCAGGACCAGATAGACTTTGGACATTAAGTATGTTGGACTTTTAGGAACGTAAAATAAATGCCCCTTTTTATCTCCGTGGTTACATTTATTATTCTTACTCAGATAAGTTATCCTAAATGAAAACTCTTTAACTGATAATATCAATGTTTTAATAAGATTATTTGTGCTTTCCTTAGTGAATACATGTCAAGATTTTTATTCAATGTCCTATTTTTCGAGACGTGCTCTATGAATTGTTGGAACTAAAATAAACTCAGTTATCTCTAATGTTTAGAATTATGAGACTATAGAATACATTAAACAATTCATATATTGACCTATTGCTTTGCTCTTGTGTTTTAAAAGATCAATGAAATATTCGTGATTTTTTAAATTAAAATCATTGAGAACACTCTATCTGATTTTACTGGGCAGTGTCTTCATGTTTACAAATGTTGCATAGCTCAGATCTCTTTTTAAACACAAAAAGAAAACAATATTATCTTTTACTTAGGTAATAAAATAATATTGGTTTTCTAAACAAGAACCTACCAACATGTGAAGACGTTTCAAAAAACATTAAGATGGGAGCATCCACAAATGCTATAGACAGAATGTGTCCCTACCAAATTCTTGTGTTGAAGCCCTAATCCCAATGTGATGGTATTTGGAGGTGGGGCCTTTGGGAAGTAATTAGGCTTCAAAGAAGTCATGAGGGTGGAGACTCCATGATGGGATTAGTGTCCTTATAAGGAGAAGAAGAGACCGGAGCCCTTTCTCTCCTTCTCTTTGCCATGTGAGCACACAGCAGGAAGGTAGCCATCTGCTAATCAGGAAGAGGGTCTTCACCAGACACTGAATCTGCCAGCCTTAGATCTTGGACCTACCAGTCTCCAGAAATATGAAAAATAACTGTTTGTTTTTTAAGCTACCTAGTCTATAGTATTTCACTATTGCAAAACAAACTAAGACAATAAACAAAAAGAAAGGCATTAAAACATATGGTCTATCTCTTGTTCAAGGAATTATACAATTCCTTCAAACATAATCCTCAGGTGAAGCACCAGAACTTGAACCTTCATGGCTTTTTACAATTATTTGAAAATATGCCAGCCTTCTTTGCCCTACTAAAGATATTTTTAAATTCATTAGACTCTCATGGTTTCCTCAAGCACATTTGATATGAATGTACTACTCAGACCACGGTTGCAAATGAATCAGAAGCAACTTCCTGTTTCTCTGTTCATTTCTAAATAATCCTGCACAAAAATGCCAGGAAGAGGCAGGTAGCACAAAGTAACCCAAACATACTGACATCCTGCATTTCCAAGGGAGTAACAAATCAGCTTTTCCCTTTCTTCAGATTAAGATTTATTATCTGTACACCATCATCATTCATCATATTATAAATACATATTGGACACCTGGAAACATAGTAGTTGCTATGGCAAACCTCTTCATCTGAAGAGTAATACTTGACTATTACTTGGCTTGATAGAAAAAGAGGAAATAGATGGGTAAGGAAGTTTATATGAATCAAAAAGCATTTTATATTGGGAAATTGTATCTGTCTTTTGTTTAGTCGTGTACTAGCTAGCTTTCAGTTTCATCAGACTCAGATAAGGGTAGTGGCGAGCTCATAAAAGTTTAACAACCCTGATTTGTAGCATTTACCAATTTTTGTGATACTTCCACTACAGCCAATTTCAAGCTACCCATTTGATACCACTAAATGTGGATTTTGGAACAGATGCACAAAATCAGCTCTCATGAACTGGTCAGAGCTGGCTGCAGCACACCACAGGCTAGAACACAACTCTTAGAGAAAAGTGATCTTGTGTAACCTATCAAATGTAATTGTGCAAATTATATTATATGCGTAATAAATTTGACGGTTCTTTTTAAAAATTGGACATTTAAAACCTTAAACTTTTTATCTCAAACAAAGTATAAATTCCCTAACAATTCATAGTGAGAGATAAATACTATTATATGGATAAAATTAAATGCATTAATATTCCCCAACCCTATTATTGGCCTTTAATTTCCATATTATATCAAATCTTTAATTAAGACATAAAACAAGTTAAAAAAAGAGAGATTTCACTTTTTCTTACCATTTCTGTTTCCATTTTTACCCACAGCAATGCCTAAAAGTCACAGATAATTCACAATCTGAAAAATAAACATTTACAGACTCAATATAAAACAAATCTGCAAAAAGTCTTGAAATAATATTTAAAATAATTCACCTTCTTTGGTAGAAATTAGTATATTTGGTTCCCTTTTTGCATATTTATTTTGTGCAAGGATCTCACTCTGTTTTTGAGGGCCTATTATGTGCTAGGTGCTATTCAAGATACTGATAAACAGAAATGGACAAAACAATTATCTCTAACCTTATGGGCTTATGTTTAGGGGAAAGGGAAGAATAAAGAAGACAAGCAAAATACATAATATGATAAATAGGAATTATTGCTTAAGTGATAAAATAGGAGAGGGATATATTATGAACTTGAGAGTAAACTTTTAGGCGAATTGATAAAGAAATTGCCGCAATAGCAAAGAGGAATCACCCTAGGTCTTGACCTTTGCCTTGTCTTAGTCTATGAAGAACTCTACTAACCAACCCATGTACCCAAAACTAGTTCTGAAAAACAGCAAATTTCTAAAGCCCTTGAATAGGCATTTATTTAGTCTGAGACTACAGAAGAAAGAAAACACATCTAATGATGCATTTAAGAGAGAGTCTGCAAAGGGACGTTGAATAATGAGACAGGAGAGAAGTTTCCTTTGTCTTTGCTGAGAAAGGCCCAGGGAGGAGAAGGTCAGCAGTAACAAAGGAGAGAAGAAAGCATATATTTTTCCTTGGGTCCTAATTTTTTGCAAATTTAAAAAATAAAAAGGTTACACATGTTGAAGATTTTATGTAAAGATTTTGGGATAATGAATTTAAATTAGTCTTGAAAGTTGGAATATATCACCACTAACTGTGAGGCACATTATTTATTTTCTGATTAATGAAAAATCCCAAATATTGTGAGTGAAACTATTATAGAGAATCTATAATAGGAAGAATATGAGTACATGTAAAATAAAGAAATGGGTGAAAACTTCTTGATGATATTTTGGTGAGATGTAATGTACAACCTCTCCAAACCTACTACTTATATTGAAAAAGTCATTAAATTAAAAGTTATTAAATGTATGAAATTTTACCCAATTCCAACTATGTAGCATACCATGAACATGCAAAATACATATGTTTCAATGGCTATGAGTTTTGTCTTTTAGTTTAGAATGCAAGAACTTTGACATTACCTCTGCAGTATGGTAAACGCTGAGATAGGAGGGAGGCGGAGATTTGGCCAGATTCAGAACAGAGCAAGGAAATGGATTTGATCTTGGTGATTTAGAGTGTGGGAACTCATGTCAACTTTAGGATATGCACTTGGGTGAATTTTACTTAAATAAAGGGAAAATTAGCAAATGAATGTTTCAGAAAGAGTTAAAGCTTGTCTCATATGCTATCTATGGAGTGGGAGAATCCAATTTGATAACATTTGAAAGGGAAAACTGTACCAAAAAATTACAAAGAGCTTTTGCTCCCTAAAAAGGGTTGTTTGGCAAAGTGCCTGCTTTCACATTAGATTCCACTTATGATGTTTTCATTATACAATTTATGTTTCCGCTTTTTTTTTTTTAATTTCCCAAGTTTAACTTAAAAGTATTTCTACAGAATTATTTATATTTTATCTCATTCTCACTATGGTAGTTCCTAAAATAAAATATACAAATACTTATTGGTTATTGGTTTTGCTGCTTTTTAATGCTGTGGAATCCTGTATACTGTGTATATAGTAATAGGGAAATTAAAAATTCCATAAGAGGAAAAAAATTAAGACACATAAAAGTATTGGAAGATATATTGATAATATTTTTTAATTATTAATTTTAGATTTTTATGATAAAACATACCAACTACCATTAAATGGTATGCCCCTCTCTATTGGCTTAAGTATCATCAAGCACATACCTCTTTATAGAAAAGAGAAAAACTGGGATAATCACTAAGATTCCAAATTCTGTCAAACCAAAAACTTGCTGTAATTTCTCCTTATGACACTGATCTCAGACATTTATTCTCAGTAAAATAAGTGAAGAAATTAGTAGCCGTCTAATTGGTGAAACTCTTGGGGTAGTTGTATAAAGTTCATTACTGTTCAGACATTTAATAAGCAAATGTCCTCTCAGCAACTCCAAATGGCTGCAGTTCCTATTGAATACAATTCTCTTTTCAAGCCATTGATGTGAAATGATTCTATTGACACTAACTTTTGAAGAAAACCTTTAGTTGAAGGGAGCTATGTCCAACATTTATCTCTATTGGTGGAATTTTTTCATTTTATATATTCTTCTTTTATTTTTTATGTGAGAAGGAAAAAACAAAGTCAGATCAAACACATCTATGGAACAAAGCACAAGGGTTCACACTAATGTGCAGGGATGAGAAGACTTTGCTCTAATTTGCTCTCAAAAGCCCTGATGCATTTTCCCATACCCCATACACAGGCATGACAGTGGATACCTCAGCCACTTTTGCACATGCCTAAGAAATGTGTTTCTCACTTAAATTGCAGTTTCCACACTTTTCTGAACATATCTCTTAAACTTTTTTTTGTCTTCCTTTCCTTTTTTTGAAAAGAAATAGAAGGTAAGTTTCGAAATAAGCATTAGTGGAATAACTTGTTAGATTTGGAGATGGAGCAGTACTTTTCATTCTTCCAGGCATGTATTTGAAAAGAATTTGCACCTAAATTGCCTTGACTGACTGTTTCTATTCCAAGTTAAGTCATGATACCAGTTGAGTAAAGACACCCAGAAAACCCTTCTGGGCATTGCAAGGTTTCTCTTCCCTTTAGCGTTTGAAGTCAATGCTGACAACACATCTACTGTCCACTGGTCCTTTAATCAGTGTCCAACCTATCCGACGAGAATAGCCCCAGGATGGAGCCCCAGACCAGGCCATGGGCAGCACCCTTTTGTCCCTCTCACATGGATGGGACATGATTCCACAGGATTAGCCAACAATTATATGCTCTGAACTGATCAATTCAGTCAATTTACTGTGCAAAGTAAATTGATCCTTCAGAACAAAGGATTCTGTCAGCAGGGAGCTACCTGAGAAAGCAGCATGCCTGTGTAAACAGTTCTGTCCTTGTCCCAGTGTGGAGTGGCCCTGCGCCATATGGTGCCACTATGAACTTATTAGCTGACGGATTAACTGATCTCTGCATTTGGGATCCCCAGTTTCCAGCTGTGAGAATGATTGATGGGCTAACTACTGCTCCAGTCTTGGAAGTTATTTCCTCCATTTAACAGAGTCAAGAAGACAGAAAATTGCCCCCTTTGTAAATGCTAATCTCACCACTCCTTCGAACACCCAACATAGCAATTTATTCAAGGCAAAGTCTTAAAATTGGTATAGTGCACATCAAATGCATACTAATTAGCAATTTCTTTTGAAGGCTCCATCACTTATTAAGGGTCTCCTTTTCCATATGTTCATCATGCCCCACTTCACCCTTTAATTACAAAACAGCACTTTCAACTAATTGTGAGAAGGTATATTGTGCCCGGAATCTGTATTAAACTCTACACCTTCTGATGCCTAATTTAGGGTCACATCGAAGGCAGACAGATAAGCAGGCAAAAAGGCTTACAACTGTCATCTGCAATTTTAAGCATATTTGGGTGTTGTTCAGAAAGAACATTTTATCTAAGATGCCAGCTATGACATTCATCACTGGGCATTACCACAAACCCTGAGTAGAAAGAAGGGGATTGATTCCAGATTAATAAATGGAATCTTTCCTTCTTCGAGGGAAACCCACATAAACTCGACAGATACATGATAATATTATTTGTAACTTTGTAATTACTTCACCTATATGTAAAAGGACCACACAAGTTTAAAAGGTTAACAGTCTGTTATTTAAATATGTATATGATAGTTGCACCATAGAAAGGGGAATTTTGCAAAAATACACCTGAATAACACTTAAAATAAATGCCTCTCCTCTTGGGAAATGTTGATGTTTTCCTGCATTAAATAAAACCCAGAGCCTTTAAGCCAGCTAGATAACTCTAACCTTGATCCCAAGTATATGTCTGTCATTTATTATCCTCACTAGAATGTTTTATGATAAAGACCTAGTCAGCTCCTTTCTCTGGCCCTCTTTTTCTACAGAATTTTCTAGACAATCTAGTGATACTTCCTTGTTGATGTTGGTTCCCAGAGATAGAACTGGTGGGAGTTTATGGTTCAGGTATATGTAGGCTACCTGGAGACAGACCCAAAGAAACCTTTGGATTTGGGGTGGAGAAAGGTGAGGTAAGGGATTCGCACTGTAAAAGCAGTTCATTTTTCACAAATCTTTAGTGAACCTGACTTCATCAGATAACAGTAGAACCCTGTAAATAAGCCAAGGAGCCAGACCAATCAATCTATCTTTAAATTAGGACCACTTTGAGGTAGGCTTTGAAACCATTCCTATATTCACAGTTGATGTATGGCAGAAATGGGAAAACCATGAATGGCAAAATATGTATAAGACTCTGTTTTTTTTTTGTTTGTTTGTTTTTTGTTTTTTTCTAGAAATTAACTTCAAAGATTCTTGAGCAGACCCTTGGTTGTTTGCTGTCTTCAGCCAAATGTCTTTGTTGAAACCAAAATTGCATCTTTTTATGATGGTTATTCAACTTTAATTTCCAAACTCTCTGATTCAGAATCAGTTTCCTTCAGACTATGGTTTGGTGGATTCTAGTCAAGGTTTATTCAGGGTTTTAATCCTCCTTTTAGCCATGTGTCTTTGGCCAGATTTTGATCTTTTTGAATCTCAGCTTCCTCATCTGAGATCATGAAGGGAATTATATCTCACCTCAAAGGTTTGGCTTATATCTGGTGTGCTGATAGGTGAGTATGCTAGTTTAGCATGGAACAGAGTTAGAAGCTAAGACTTTCCTTTGCTTCTCCTTCCTTTCATTTACTAACCACTTTGGCAACTTCAGTTTATCAGTTCAGTATCACACTTACCATTTAGGTTTCTTCTGTAGAGAAATAACTTGAGTTTTTCTCTTCCCTAAAGAGAGCAGAAAGAAACTGTCATTAAAATAGAGGGAAAATAAAAAATATCATATTATCTTCTTTCAAGCAATATAACGTATACCAAATATTAATGTAGTGTGTGTGTGGGGGTGGGGGGGGCGGTCAATCATTTATTTTTAAATCACTTTCTGAAATTTGCTCTTTCTTTCTTTCTTTTTTTGAAAGAGTCTCAATCTGTCACCCAGGCTGGAGTGCAATGGCGTGATCACAGCTCACTGCAACCTCTGCCACCTAGGTTCAAGAGATTCTCATGCCTCAGCCTCCCAAGTAGCTGGGATTACAGGTGTGCACCACCACACCCAGCTAATTTTTGTATTTTTAGTAGAGACAGGGTTTCACCATGTTGGTCAGGCTAGTCTTGAACCTCTGACCTCAGGTGATCCACCCACCTCAGCCTCCCAGAGTGCTGGGATTACAGGTGTGAGCCACTGCACCTGGCTTGGTTGCTCTTTCTTTAATAAACAGTTGAATTTTAATATTGAAATGTGATATATGCAAAGAGAACAACTTATGTGAATACTGGAATTAGAGGATGATCACCATATTTATGAAAAACTGGTGCAAAGGAAAGTTGAGGAAGTCATCTGTATAAACCTGGCAAATAATTGTTAGGGAAGAATGATTTTAGCATTTTTTTGTGTTTTATGAGTCCAAAATTCTTAGCAAATTTATACTGAATTGAATTGTAGGCAGCCAAATAGAACCCTCCAAATATCCTCAAACACACTAGACAGTCACTTTATTTTGACTTTGAAAATCTGACCGTAGTAAATGTTTTTATTTATAGAAATCTTCACAATATTTTAATAGTTAGGTTAGATATACTTTGTTGGGATATCAAGATGGTAAGCCACAATTTGTTCTTTGAAAGAAAATATGCAAATCCTGTTTCTAATTATTCATGCTAATTAGGAGGTTTACTTGAAAAAAGTGTGTGACAGATAAATGATTCACATTTGGTTGAAGAATAGAGTCTATTACTTTTTCATCAGATTTATCATTTCCTTTACCTTCCCCACCTTCATTCAGGCAATTCTTTTAGACAAATGTCAGCAAGCTTAATTTCCACCTCTGTATCAGATTATTCTAGAATTATCACATGTTTAATAGTGATAAAGGTGCCACAATATTTCAAAAAGTTTTTCCTTATTTGCTGTTTATTTTTTTCCCCGTGGGAGAAACTATGAATTATATATCATTCAGGTTAAAGAACCTCCACCTCTAAGTGTCAGGGGAATTTTGCCTTTGAAAAACCTCTCCTTTCATCCTAACCAGTTTTTGGACTCCAAGTGACATGAGGTTAAAGAGCCTCTTTTATACATCTGTACATATCTGGTCTTTTAAAAAGAGTAAGTACTCAATGAATGTGGTTGAATGAAAGAGATAGTCACGGTCTATGAGAAGCATGGCTATTTGCTATCACATAGGATAAGAGTACCAAAGAACATTTGCAATATATACCAGTCTTGTACAGTATTCTGAGCTTTATTTAATGAGTTTTAAAATTGTGACTTTTAGAGAGCAGAGTCCACCTCCAGTCACTTTCTCTCACTCTCTCCAAATATCTACTTCACAAAGATTGAGTATAGATGATCACTGATTCTATACGGGCTACTTCACATAATTTTGATCTGATCCTTTTTCACTACCCTTATTTGTGTGTATGTGTGCATAAATACCAACAGTGTGGTGGGTGGGTAGGTAAGTAGGTGAGAAATCTCTCCCTCCAAAGATTAACTGAATTTTTTATTTGGGGAATTTTTAGTGAATATGTGTCAATTCATTTGATATTATAGAATGCAACAAATGTTTTCAGATTAGCTTGATTTTCATCTTTTGAGTTCTCAAAAGCTACACTTCACATTTCCTGACAGTTATATTTGGAACCAGAATTTACTCCTTAGTTTCAGGTAATTTTTTCAGTTTTTATACTTTTAAATTTTATAGTTCAAGGATTGTTGCTGAGTGTTGTTTGCCTTCATGAGACTAATAATATTCCCGTGTTTAAAGGGGTATATTTTAAGTGATACATATATTCACAGCATAAAAATGTAGCGTACCTAAGTCAACACCAGAGGATTTTCCAGTTTTAAAAATCTTCGCAAGTTTACAAACTAAAGTTTTCTTGAAAGAAGAAAATCACTTTGACTATTACTTTGTACTTCTTAAAAAAAATCAGTCACACAAAGGAAGGCAGGCAATGGCCACAGAACAATCAAGTGATTACCTCATTATGTCATCATTTGGATAATACATGAATATACAACAAACAGCTGACCAACTGTATAGTTCCTTCTGAGCCACAAATGTGTAAATTCCTTACAAAGCAAGATCAACAGTACTGTGATAGTGACATTGCTTTCATAATAGAAAATAAATAGTTCTTAAGAATAACCAGATCAGAAATGTGCCTCAAGTACATTACCAATGAAAAAGATTACATAAGCAATGAAACATATATGAGATTCCAGTATTTTCAATTTGGTGGGAATTTTTGAAATTTACTCCTAAAATTTCTAGAAATGAATGCAAAGTTGCCCAAGGAAATGATTAATAAAATGAGAATTATATTGGGAACTATTCCTGTTTTGGAAAATAAATCATACCCAGCATTTCTTACTGTATTTAGAAGTGTTTTTATCTTCTTTTTTGAAAGGGCCTTACACTTCCTATCTCCTTTCAAATATTTGTTATGACAGTGTTCCTCATTCAAATGAATAGAGCGATACTTTTCATTCATTTGGATCAAAACCAGTATTGAAACATTTTCAGACTCTTTTGCACACTTCTTTTAGACTAGAGATTGAGGAAAGAAACATGAAAATTGTACACCTTTATTTTTTATTCATTACTGTCTTGAAAGACTTAAAATGTTCTTTTTTTTTTCATAATGGCAGCTGGATGAACAGCTCATATGCTGAGTTAAAATCTGAATCAACATGAAATGACTGAAATTCTAAGCCTAAAAAAATTACTGTTTATAATGGAAACTCAAGCATAATAGTCCATGATGGAAATTCAGTCACCATAGTCAGGTGGATGGTGACGCTGCAATAAGGAAATGTAATTAAGTTGTCTATATCAGGAGGAGAGTTGACTAATCATTCATGGGGAGCCTTATTGCTATCATTTTTTAAATTAATTTTTTTCTTAATTATCCTTAGATATTTCATTTTCAGCTACAACTTAACGCAGATAAAACCTACTTCTGATTTCTCTTAATTACTAATGCTGCAAAGGTGTTGCATCTTTTCCAAGCTCACTTACAACCAACTTTCAAATCAATTAAGGCATCTCAAAAGCATTTCTAAAATACCAGATGCTCTGTCAGCTGCACAGAACAATGTGTTAATAATTATATTTCTCTTTCTTACAGCAGATCAAAGCCAGAGATGAGGTGACATACACCTAAGATATTCAAACTCCAGCTTGAAGGTCAATTGGATCTGCCGACATATGTTGCTGATTTTGTAACATGAAAGCCAGCTAAGAAAAACAGATCAGTGAAATGCATATTCTTCGTATTCTTAATTTCAGCCCTATCCAAATGTTTACAGAATAGTTTGAAGAGATTTGCAGTTTCTTGTTATCAGTCTTATTAAGCCTTGGCAAACCTTTAATAACAAGTCTATCAACAACCCACCAGGGATTTGATTTTAGTCTTGGAGTGCCTGAATTTTTACGCTATTGAACAATTTTTAATTGGAAGCACCGGGACCTTTTCTGATCAGTTGTCCACGTTGCCTCATGAATGGGTGGCATTCATGCTCAGCTTGAAAAGGCAATGGCAGCTGGGGAAAAAAATAAGGCTTTGTGTAAGCCGAGAAGAGGGCAGGCAGGCAGGCAAACAGCAAGATTCCCCTAGAAGTAGCTTTAGTGTGGGTGTTTTAAGCCACACAGAAAAAAGTAAACTAGAATAATCACCACCTTGCACTTGTTTTATGTTTCCATGGTTTAACTTAAAACACTGGCACAAGGAGACAACTACCATTCTAAAGTCAGAACCTCAGTTAAACTAGAATTGTGGGTCAGATCCATGTCTGCCAACTACATAGGACACTTGGAAGTGCAATTTAGAAAGAGAGAATATAGTAGCAGTTTCCCCGCTAGTAAATCCTACACACCCGTGCCAGGTTAATTTTATCATGGTTATTAGAATGTCAAAACCTTCAAGGATTTCCATCTGCTCTTAGAGTAAAATACCAACTTCTACATTTGTGTTTCAAAGCTCTCTCTAAAATAACCAATCCTACACATCCAGTTCTGCATGAGAGTCAGGGCTCTGAAGCCAGATTATCTGGGCTCAAATTCCACCTCCATCATTTACCAAGTTGTATCACCTTGCACAAGTCACTTAACCTCTGTGTGCCTTTGTCTTCTCCTTGTAAAATGCAGATTAAAATATTGCCTCTATTACATGATTGTTATGAAGATTAACTAAGTTAATATGTGAATGTTCTTAAACTGGCCTAAAACTTAGTGAGAATAAGCACATATAAATGCTTGAGTAAGGGATGTCCCACTGTACTACAGTGCATTATGTTCCTTCCTTTCTCTCTCTACTCATGGTTTTCTGTCTACTTAAAATTCTTTGCAAGGTTAGAAATGGAAGTAGTCAGAAACCAGAAAGCTAGCCAGAATGAAAATCACTGAAGCAGAAAGACTAGATTGTCCTTCCAGAAGAAGGATCTGTTCAGAATTCTCCCAGAACTTTCCAGCCTCTATACATTTGCTTATTTAGTTCTCCTTTTCTGGTATGCCTTTCCTTCTTCTATCTATTCAAAACCTACTCAGTCTTTCAAAATCAAGATGGAATTCTCTGTGATGCCTTTCTCAAATGCTTTGGACTTACTCATGTTTTCATGAACTGTATCTCCTATTGATCTGCCATTTTTTGGTCCTTAATTATATACCAATTTGTGTTGCAAATTAATATTTGCTTTCATATTAGTCTTATTTCCCCCAAATAGATGGTTAGCTTATCAAGCACAAGAGCAGAGATTTATCTTATATCTCGTGTGGAGCTGAGCTTAAAGTAAGTGTTCAATAAATTCTATTGAATAGACTTTAATAAATTCAATTAATGTCCTCTCCTTCAATCCTGTCTGCAGTAGTCACAGTAACTAAAAATAAGAGGTTTAAGAAAAGATCAATAAAAGGCTGAAAATATCATGAATAAGAAACTAAAACTAACTACCAAAGCCAAGGTAGATTCTGATGGGCTGAAGCTGAAGAAAAAAATGGTTCTTCCTCTGAAATATTTTACAATTTGTTTCACATATTTAAAATATATTTGAAAGTGAGGAAACTGGACACAAATAATATCACAATGAATTAAGTCAGAACTAGTGCTCAAATCTCTATCTTCTGGAACTAATCTGTCTTAACTCATTGTGGGATTCTGTGTGTCCAGTGCACCTATATCTACCACACTGTGGATTACGGTGAAAAAAAAAAAAGGATTATCTAGAGTAGTTAAGTCTCTAGATTTGTTCATCTAGGTGGAGTTAAAAATTTCATTGGCAAGTAGATTGTTCACCAATTTCTGTAAGTAATGGCTATTAAAAAACTCTTTTCCCATTGGAAACTCAGCATTTTAGACATGTGGTAGGCTCTTAGTCTTTGTTAAACAACAGTGATGTTATTTCTTCAATTTTGATACTTGGTGTGTACTCTTATTTCCTGGCTGTTCATAGTTTATGCCAATTATGCCAAATTTTTATCAACTTTATCCAAATTTTATTTGTTGTCCAATATTTGTTTGACTAACTTGCCAATTTCTCAGTGCATATTTATCCAAGAGGAACTGAAGTATTGTCAGTATAGTTTTGATACCAGCAAGGTTATATAATAAAAAACTAACCTTTAGTGACTATATTTGTATATTTAATATTAAGTATAGATCACATGTGGCTGCTTGACTTCTGATGCAACTCTATGTGTTTTGAAATAGATCTGAGGCTCCTTATAGGAATAGACAATGGTCTCTTCAGTTGAATTTTTGCTGACTTTTCTCAATATGTGACAATCTCTTAATTTTCCTGACTCTACCCTATCTAGGTTCTCCTCTTGTGTCTTCCTTCACTCCTTTAATAAATCTTAGTTCTCAGTCCTCCACTGTATTTTCTATATAATGCCTTAGATTTCATCTCAGTCACTGTAGTGCTTTCACTATTTCTGCACAGATGATGCTATAATATTTACTTCAGCCTTCAAAATTCTAACCAGCTCTTCTCTAAAACCCTACTAGACATTTCTTCTTGGGCAACCTACCTATACCTCAAGTTGGATGTATTTTTAACTGAATTCATCATGTCTCTGAAATTGTCTCTGTCTCTTAATTTTCTTAACACTATTCCTCCCGTTCATTAGGAAGTTCAGTCTCCTTTGACTCCTCTCCTTTCCTGACTGCATATTCATTTGGTCCTATAGTATTGTCTGTTTGATCATCTTGATATCTGCAAAGTCCATTTTTCCTTCTGGCACTTCCTTTTCCATCTCTTCAACTGGACTGGCACTGCAGTTCAATACCCAGAAATGCACATAGTAATTACTTGTTGAATCAATAAATGAATAACTTTCCTATCTCAATTTCTTCGTGCCTTCAATATATTCCAGATTAATTATTTCTCTGTAGCCCCAGCTACCGGGAGGCTGAGGCAGGAGAATGGCATGAACCCGGGAGGCGGAGCTTGCAGTGAGCCGAGATCACGCCACTGCACTCCAGCCTGGGCGACAGAGCGAGACTCCGTCTAAAAAAAAAATAAAAATAAAAAATAAAAAGACATATTCATCCTGTTACTTATACTGGAAAGCCTTTCCGAGCTTTCACTCTTCTGTAATAGTGCTTCCCTTTCCTCACTTTGCATTAGTACCACATGGAGAGATTGTAGAGAATACTGTGCCCAAGCCTCATCTAGACATAGGAAGTAGACTCTCTGGACATAGGACCCAGACATTCAGGGGTGATATCCAAAGAATTTTACCAGTGATATGACAAAAACACTAACCAATCAAAACTGCTTTCCTGACCAATCAGCATGGACTATGGCTGCAAAAACCAGAATGGTCCTAAATACTATCTAATTATCAGCCCTGCCAATACTCATGTTTATTAAGATCTCAAAAAGGTAATTCTAATGAACCACTGATTACAAAATACACTCATATTTCTGACCCTGGCAATCAAGACTCTTTATAATAAGGCCTAAATTTCCCTTTAGAACATTATTGCCTCTAGCCTTTATATGAAATCTCTGCTCTAATCATTTTATATCTACTAACTATGCCTTGCTCATTGCCATTTCCTAGCTTTTACTTACAGAGTAGGTGTTCTATGACAGGGTAAACTTTGCTTTACTTCATTTTAATGGAAAATAGAGGTAATGTAAAGTAGAACATTAATGCACTCAACCAATCAAACAGTAATTTACAGTGTTTGTGAACTTTTTAGGATGTGTATGTTTGCTTACCAAGAATGGCACTGAATTACAACGAATGATGAAAAGTTATAATCATGGAATAGACGGGAGCAGAGACGAAATGTTCAAGCCTTGGCTATGGAGGAAAAAAATTGCTGATGGAAAGAGAATGGCCGTGTATGTCTACTAAACATCACACTCTTGATCTTTTAAAAAGGAATTGTTTCGTGAATTTCTAACTTGTCTTTTATGAAGTTATGGTTCATTCTTTTAAATAATATGAGGAAATGTTGACCAAAAATGACTGAAGTGTGTTGAAAAAAGAATAATCTCCAAAAATAATGGAAAGTAATTCTGTTGTTGCTACTTCACGGAGCTCTTTCCTTACATTGTGTTTTTAGTGTCCTTGGCTACTTCTTAGATCCAACGTGTACAACAAAATGCTAAAATGTAAAGAGCATAATTTAGGGATCAATAAAATTTTATCTGATAGATGCCTCACTCACAAGAAGACTCAGATGACACATAAAGGGCACTGATGTAGGAATAACTAATCACTGTCAACTGTACTCATGGGAAAAATCAGCATAACTCCCATGTTCAAGTAAGAAGAAAATTTTAAGTCATTGAGTTATATCACATCTAGTTCCAGAAGCCTGTTTTGGGTTATTTGTGCCCTGGGAATTCCTGCAAATTCAGAGACCAATTCTAGGATAAGATGATTGAACTAGTCTGTTCTTAACTGCTTTAAAGAACTATTTGAGACTGGGTAATTTATGAAGAAAAGAGGTTTACTTGACTCACAGTTCTGCAGACTGGACAGGAGGCATGACTGGAAGGCCTCAGAAAACTTACAATCAGTGGAAGGACAAAGGGGAAGCAAGCATGTCTTCATGTAGTAGCAGGAGAGAGAGAGAGAGAGAGAAAGAGTGAAGGGAGAAGTGTTACACACTTTTAAACAATCAGATCTTGTGAGAGCTCACCCATTATGAGAATAACTGCAAGGGAAAAATCCACTTCCCATGATCTAATCACCTCCCACCAGGCCGCACCTCCAACACTCACAATTCAACATGAGATTTGGGTGGGGATACAATGATTTTATAGTGTTTTGTACCAACCTGGAGTGGAGTTTTTAATTAACTCCTAAGAGAATGTTTGATTAACTTTTTTTTTTTTTTTTTTTTTGAGATGGAGTTTCATTCTTGTTGCCCAGGCTAGAGTGCAATGGCACGATCTTGGCTCATTGCAAACTCCACCTGCCAGGTTCAAGTGATTCTCCTGCTTCAGCCTCCTCAGTAGCTGGGATTACAGGTGCCTGTGACCATGCCCAGCTAATTTTTCTTTTTTTTTGTATTTTTAGTAGAGACAGGGTTTAACCATGTTGGCTAGGCTGGTCTCGAACTCCTGACCTCAGGTGATCCACCCACCTCGGCCTCCCAAAGTGCTGGGATTGATTAACTCTTGTAAGTGAAGTACTCGGAGACAACTATTTGGCTCCAACGTGCTCTTTTAAGCTCTTCCCTTTCATATTGCATCCACAGCCTTTTGATAGTCAATTGCATTTATGAAGTTATTCCAAAATTTTGGAGCTCAGCCAAACAATTTCCAAAAGCACAGAGCTGCAATTGGCAATATGGTAGGCAAGATAATAGTCCTCTACAAAGATAACCATACCCTGATCCTTATAATCTGTGAATCTGTTAAGATACATGGCAAAAAGAACTTTGCACATGCAATTAAATTAAGGACCTTGGGGTGGGAGGATTACTTTGGAGTGTCTGGGTGGAACTAATCTAATCACACAAATCCTTAAAAGCAGAGAACCTTTCCTGCCTGTGTTTAGAGACCATGTGATGATGAAAGGAGAGTCAGAGAGATTCTACATTGCTGGCTTCAAAAATGGAGGAAGGCCAATGCCCAGAAGAGTTTTCCCTAGGTTGTCTTCTAGCGGTTTCAGGGCTTTGGGTCTTCAATTTAAGTCTTCGGTCCATCTTAAGTTGATTTTTGTATAAGGTGAGAGATAGGGATCTGGTTTCATTCTTCTACATGTGGCTAGCCAGTTTTCCCAGCAACATTTATTAAATAGGGTGTCTTTCCCCTAATTTATGTTTTTGTATGCTTTGTTGAAGATCAGTTGGTTCTAAGTATTTGGCTTTATTTCTGGGTTCTCTATTCTGTTCCATTGGTCTATTTGTCTACTGTTATACTGGTACCATGTTGTTTTGGTAACTACAGCCTTGTAGTATAATTTGAAGTCTGTTAGTATGATGTCTCCAGCTTTGTTCTTTTTGCTTAGTGTTTCTTTGGCTATGCAGGCTCTTTTTTGGTTCCATATGAATTTTAGGATTTTTTTTTTATTTCTGTGAAAAATGATGTTAGTATTTTGATAGGAATTGCATAGAATCTGAAGATTGCTTTGGGCAGTATGGTCATTTTTGTGATATTGATTCTTCCAGTTCATGAGCATGGGATGTGTCTCCATTTGTTTGTATAATCTCTGGTTTCTTTCAGCAGTGTTTTGTAGTTCTCCTTGTAGAGCTCTTTCATCTCCTTGGTCAAGTATATTCTTAGGTCTTTTTTTTTCTTTAACTGTTGTAAAAGGGATTGAATTCTTGATTTGATTCTCTGCTTAGTCATTGTTGGTGTATAGCAGTGCTACCAATTTGTGTATATTGATTTTGTAAAATTTACTTAACTGAATGTATTTATCAAATCTAGGAGTCTTTTGGAGGAGTCTTTAGGGCTTTCTAGTTATGCAATCATATCATCAGTGAGCAGTGACAGTTTGACTTCTTTTTTTCCAATTTGGATGCCCTTTATTTTTTCCTGTTGCCTAATTGCTGTAGCTGGGACTTTCAGTACTATCTATGTTGAATAGAAGTGGTGAAAGTGGACTGGACATTGGCCTAGGCAAAGAATTTATGACTAAGACCACAAATTCAAATGCAACAAAACCAAAAATAAATAAATGGGACTTAATTAAACTAAAAGATTCCGTACAGAAAAAGAAATAATCATCAGAGTAAACAGACAACCCACAGAGTGGGAGAAAATATTTGCAAACTATGCATCCAACAAAGGACTAATATCCAGAATCTATAAGGAACTCAAATCAGCAAGAAAAAAAAAAACCAAATGATCCCATCAAAAAGTGGGCAAATGACATGAATAGACATTTTTAAAAATAAGATATACAAGTGGCCAAAAAACATGAAAAGATACTCACCATCACTAATCATCAGGGAAATGTAAATTAAAACCACAGTGAGGTACCTCCTGACTACTACAAGCATGACCATTATTAAAAAGTCAAAAAACTGTAGTTGTTGGCATGGATGTGGCGGAAAGGAAATGCTTATGCACTGCTCATGGGAATGTAAATTAGTACAACCTCTATGGAAAACAGTATGGAGATTTAAAGAGCTAAAAGTAGATCTACCATTTGATCCAGCAGTCCCACTACTGGGTATCCACCTAAAGGAAAATAAGTCATATCAAAAAGACATCTGCATGCATATGTTTTTGGCAGCACAATTCACAATTTCAGATATTTGGAACCAACCTAAGTGCTCACTGACCAATGAATAGATAAAGAAAATATGGTATATATACACCATGGAATACTACTCAGCCATGAAAAAGAATAAAGCAATGCTTTTGCAGCAACTTAAATGGAGCTGGAGGCCATTATTCTAAGTGAAATAACCAAGGAATAGAAAACCAAATATTGTATATTCTCACTTATAAGTGGGAGTTAAGTTATGGGTACACAAAGGCATACAGAATGATATAATGAACTACAGAAACTCAGCAGTGGGATAGTGAGAATGGGGATTAAGGGATATAAAAAACACATATTGGATACAATGTATATTACTGAAGTGTCAGGTGCTCTAAAATCTCAGACTTCATCATTACACAATTTATTCATGTAACAAAAACCACTTGTACCCCAAAAGCTACTGAAAAAAAATTTTTTTAAATGAAGGAAGGAAACCATGAGCCAAGGAATGTAGGCAGTCTTCAGAAGCTGTAAAAGGCATGGAAACAGTCTTTACCCTAGAGGCTTCAGACAGGAATGCAGCTTTGCTTACAATCTTGATTCCAGCCTACAGACTTCTGATCTGCAGACCGTATGATAATAACTTTATGTTTTAGGCCACTACGTTTGTGGTAATTTATGGCAACTATAGAAAATGAAAAGGAGTCTGCATGCACATGTGTCTTAATGGGGAGTGAGGAGGGATCAAAAAATACAAACCCCTCTCAAAGCATTTACTAAGAAATATTTGTTGATGAGCCTAGACTCTGTCTTTTGTTTACAACTGCTCAATTATTATGTAATGGAATTGTAATTTCTATGCATTTGTTAGGTTGGCTATTACATAATTTTCTTTTTTAAAAAATAGTTTAATTGAAATATAATTCATATATAATTTGCCAATTTAAAAGTGTACAATTCAGTGTTTTTAATATATTCACAAGGTTGTGCAACCATCACAACAATCTAATTTTAGAACATTTTCAACATCTTAAAAGAAATCCCATACCCTTTAGCAGTCAATCCCTTTCCCCTCATCCAGAGCCCTAAACAAATGGTAATCTACTTTCTGTCTTTATTACTTTGTCTATTCTGGACATTTCACATAAGTGAAATCCTAAAATGTGTGGCCTTTTGTGTATGGCTTCTTTGACTTAATGTAAGATTTTTGAGGTCCAATTACACTGCACTACATCTCAGTACTTCATTCCTTTTTATTAGTGAGTACTATTCCATGGTATGGATATACCACTTCCACATTTTATTTGTTCATTCAACAGTTGAATTGTGCTCTGATGGTTGAAAGACAAAATTGTCAAGCGTTCTGTATTAACAGTGGATGTAGACATTTTTTTCAGATGGATAAAATGTATATGCTACAGATGTAAAGTCTTCCATGTAAAAAAGTTTTGTACAGCTTTCTGTACAATATTGATTCTCATCTGGCATATTCTAATCAGGTTATAGGTCAATAAAGTTTTTGACTTATTTCAATAAAAAACAGTTGATAGAAATTTAGGTTATTTCCACTTTTTATTTATTATAAACAATGTTGCTATGTTATGAATAATTGTGTACAAGTTTTTGTATACATGTATGTTTTCATTTATCTTGGGTATATACTTAGGAGTGGAATTGTTGAATCATATGAAATGTTTAATGTTTATTAAACATATGGTTAATGTTTTGAGGAATTACTAAACTGTTTTCCAAAGTAGTTGCATTATTTTTCATTACTTCTATAATCTAACAAGAATTCCAATTTCTCCATATCCGAATTAACACTTGTTATTGTCTGTCGTTTTAATTGTAGCCATCCTAGTGGATGTGAAGTTATATTTTATTGTGATTTTGATTTGCATATCTGTGGTAACTATTGATGTTGAGTATCTTCATGTGCTTATTAGCCATTTATGTATCTTTGGAGAAATGTCTGTTGAAATCTTTTGCCTGTTTTAAAATAAGTTTGTCTTTTTATTATTGAATTTTAAAGACCTTTAAAAACATGTTCTGGGTACAAATCCATTATCAGATATATTATTTGTAAATATTTTCTCCCATTCTGTAGGATTATGTTCTCATTTTTTTGATGGTATCTTTTGCATCACAAAGATTTTAATGTTGATGTAATTCCATTTATCTATTTTTTTCTTTTGTTGCTTGTGCTTTTGGTGTTGTATCTAAGAAATCATTACCTAACACAAAGTCATAAGGATTTACACCTATGTTTTCTCATGTTTTAGCTGTAACATTTCGGTCTTTGATCCACTTTGGGTTAATTTTTGTGTATAGTGGGAGTACGGGTCCAACTTCATTCTTTCGCTAGTAAATATCCAGTTATCTCATCACCATTTGTTAAAAAGACTATTTTTTTCCTCATTGGATTTTCGTGGCACCCTTGTCAAAAATCAGCTGGCCATAAATGTAAGAGTTTGTTTTTGGACTCTAAATTCTATTCCATTGATTTGTGTGTTTATCCTTATGTCATTTTCACAGTGTCTTGATTACTATAGTTTTGTAAAGTTTTGAAATCAGGAAATGTTACCCTCCAATTGTGTTCTCTTTTTTTCAAGTTTTTTTTCCGGCTATTCTGGGTCACTTGAGTTCCATATAATTTTGAGATTAGTTTGTCAATTTCTGCAAAAAAAAAAAAAAAAAAAAAAAAAAAAGCTGTATTCCAATAATGGTTGCATAAAATCTGCTGATCAATTTGGACAGTACTAATATCTTAACAATATTAGGTTTTGATCATAGAACATCTTTCTAGTTATAAGAATGACTAATTTGTTTCAACAATTTTTGTAGCCTTCACTGTATTAGTTCTTAACTTATTTTGTTATGTGTATACCTACATTAGTTTTTGATGCTATTATAACTGGAATTGTTTTCTTTTTTTTTTTTTTTTTTTTTTTTTTTTTGAGACGGAGTCTCGCTCTGTCGCCCAGGCTGGAGTGCAGTGGTGCGATCTTGGCTCACTGCAAGCTCTGCCTCCTGGGTTCACACCATTCTCCTGCCTCAGCCTCCCGAGTAGCTGGGACTACAGGCGCCCGCCACCATGCCTGGCTATTTTTTTTTGTATTTTTAGTAGAGACGGGGTTTCACCGTGTTAGCCAGGTTGGTCTCGATCTCTTGACCTCATGATCCACCCACCTCAGCCTCCCAAAGTGCTGGGATTACAGGCGTGAGCCACCGTGCCTGGCCTGGAATTGTTTTCTTAATTTCATTCTTAAAATGTTTACTGAAAGTGTGTAGAAATACAATTGATTTTTACATATTGCTCTTATATCCTGCCATCATGCTGAACTCATTTTTTTTAGTTCTAATAGGGGATGTGTGTGTGTGTGTATGTGATTGTGTGCTCCCAAAGATTTTCTACATACAAGACCATTTCATCTGCAAATGAAGATAGTATTTTTTTCCTTCTAATCTGGAAGCCTTGTATTTCTATTCTTGTATAATTTCCATGGCCAGAACCTCTAGTACAATATTAAATATAGACTGGATAAAGAAAATGTGGCACATATGCACCATGGAATACTATGCAGCCATAAAAAGGATGAATTCATGTCCTTTGCAGGAACATGGATGAAGCTGGAAACCATCATTCTCAGCAAACTAACACAGGAACAGAAAACCAAACACCACATGTTCTCACTCATAAGTGGGAGTTGAACAATGAGAACACATGGACGCAGGGAGGGGAACATCGCACACTGGGGCCTGTCGGGGGGTGGAGGGCTAGTGGAGGGATAGCATTAGGAGAAATATCTAATGTAGATGACGGGATGATGGGTGCAGCAAACCACCATGACACGTGTATACCTATATAACAAACCTGCACTTTCTGCGCATGTATCCCAGAACTTAAAGTATTAAAAAAAAAAGTGTGACACCCTGTATTGTTCTTGATATTGAGATAACGTATCTAGACTTTACTACTAAGATGTTAATTGTGGGGCTTTTGTAGGTGTGCTTTATCATATTGAGAAAGCTAGCTTCTTTTTATTGTTTTTATTGTAAATAGGTTTTGGATTTGGATATGCTTTTTCTGCATCTATTGAGATGATTATATGGCATGCTATGTTAATTTATTTTAAATATTAAGCCAACACTGTTTTTTAGTATTTTGTTGAGAAATTTTTGCATCTATATTTGTGATATCTTTTTGGTTTTGGTATCAGAGTAATACTGGCATCATATAATAAGTTGGAAAGGGATCCCTCCTCTTCTATTTCCTGGAAGAGTTTGTGAAGTATAATTATTTTTTCTTTGAATGTTTGGTAGAATTCACGAGTGAAGCCATCTGGCCCTGGTCTTTTCTTTGTGAGAAGATTTTTAATGACTGATTTAATCTCTACTTGTTACAGACCTGGTTAGAATTTCTGTTTCTTCTTGAGTTTCAGTATTTTGTGTCTTTCTAGAAATTAGTTCATTTTCATTTAATTACCTAATTTGTTGGCATGAAATTGTTCATAGTATTTCTTTATAATACTTTTTGTTTCTGTAAGTTCTATAGTGATGCCCCCGTTTTCATTTCTGATTTTAGTAATTTCAACCTCCTCTCTTTTTTTCTTAATCAATTTAGCTAAAGATCTATCAACTTTATTGATCTTTTCAAAATATCAGCTTTTGGTTTGTTGATTTTCTAAACTTTTTAAAAATACTCTATCACACTTAGTTCCATGCCGGTGTTTAAAATTTTCTTCTTTTTCCTTGATTTGGGTTCAATAAGCTCTCCTTTTTCTAGTTTCTATTGTGAAAAATTAGGTTATTGATTTGAGATATTTCTTCTTTTTAAATATAGGTGTTTACAGCTATAAATTTTTCTCTGAGCACTGCCTTAGTTATATTTCATAGTGTTGGTAGGGCATGTTTTCATTTTCATTCATTGAAAGTATTTTTAAATTTCCCTTCTGGTCTCTTCTTTGATCTATTGTTTACTTAACAGTATAATGTTTAATTTTCACATATTTATTATTTTTCCAAAATTCTTCTGTTATTGGTTTCTAATTCCATTGCATTCTAATTCCATTCCAACTGCTTTACATGATTTCATTGCTTTTAAATTTATCAAACTTGTTTTAAGGCCTAACATATGGTCTACCCTAGAAAATATTTTATATGCCCTCGAGAAGAATGTGCATTCTGTTACTGTTCGGTAGAATGTTCTATAAATGTTTGTTAGTCTATTTGGTTTATAATGTTGTTCAAGCCTTCTACTTTTTTGTTGATCTTCTGTCCAGTTGTTCTCATCCTTATTGAAAGTGGGGTATTGATTTCTCCCACATTATTAGTGTTGATTTGTCAATTTTTTCCTTAAATTCTTTATTTGTTTCATGTATTTGAGGGTTCTGTAGTTAGGTGCATATGTGTTTATAATTGTTATAACTTTCTGATGAGTTGACTACAAAATCTCTAGTAATTTTTTTTGTTTTAAGTCTTTTTTGTCTGATATTACTATCACTATTTAAACTAGTTTATAGTTATCATTTGCATGGTATATCTTTTTTCATAAGTTTAATTTTAATATATTTCTATTATTAAATATAAAGTGTTTCAGTGTGTGGCTTAGGGAATGTTTTCACGTCTTCCCCAGGTTTTGCTCTGATTGCTTTTCAGTGGGTGCAGCCTAGCACATGTACACAGACTTCACTGTGATCTTAGGAGGACTCTTTTTGGTTGTCTCTTTCTTTGGTTCTTTCTATTCAGTTTCTCTATCACCTTGCTTGCTTGTATCAGAGATACCTATCTTACAATTGTTCCCCACCAATATTACCACTGTTTTCAACAACATTCATAGGTGTAGAATTATTCACTCTGTTCCAAATAAATTTAGAACCTATGGAAGAAGTGCAGTGCTCTTAACCATTATGGCTTACCTTTACCCCTAGGCAGAACCCCTGTACCACCCACTATCATTGCACTGGAGCTGGGAGAAGGAACCCAGAATGATACTCCATTGTATAAGTGGGCAGTGGACAGGAGAGTGGCCACTGGGAATAGAGCTTCCCGCCTAGCAGTTGGAGCTGAGTGGGAGAAGAAAGACCAGTCTTCTCTGCCATATCTTCCTGGAATAGAGCTCCTGCAATATGGGGTTGGGAGTATAATAAATGGTAGCCTGCGTCTCCTTGGGTTAACTTATAGCCCCAGACTGAGAGCTTAGAGGAGAGGAAATGACTGTCTTCTTGCCTGCACATGCCCCATCTTCCAATTAGTCAGAAATTATGACCTCTTGGTGGCACCAGTGTTTGCCATTGTATGGCCCATTCCATGAAAACTTAGTTGCTTAGAAACCACCATGGCATGGTGTATACCTATGTAACAAACCTGCATGTTCTGCACATGTATCCTAGAACTTAAAGTATAATTAAAAAAAAAAAAAAAGAAAACTTGGTTGCTTAGATGTGAGGGCAGGAAGATTGACAATTAAATTTTACCAGACAGAGCAATGACAGGACAGAGAAAGCTGTGGTCAGAATGTGGGAATGCTGTCATCTAAAACTATAAACATATCTCTCTTTCTGGTGTTGACAAGGTCCCAGGGATTAATGTGGAGGAAAGTTAATGAGATGAGGTGGAGTTGAAGAACCTTGGAAATGAGGTCAAGGTTTGGAATTTGTATGATAAATGCATCACTTACCACGGGGAATGCGCTACATGAGTATGTTTGTGGAAAACCCTGCTTTACATAGATTATATCTGTTAGAAAATACAACACACCTATGAAGAATGTACCTTTATTCCAATTTTTGATGAAAAACTAGTATCTTAGAAAGTTTGGAGAACTCGCATAAAGTCTTAATTGCTAACAGTAATAACAGCAAACATTTTAGAGCAATTTACTATATACCAAGCATTCTTCTAAGAGATTTACATTCTAAGTCTTAAGTGCTCAAAAAGTTATTTATTATTACCATTACCATGTTAGAGAGAAGGCACAGAGAGTTTCAATAACTTGCCTAAGGTCACATGGCTAGTTAGTGGCAAGAGCCAGGGCATAGAGCAAGTGTCAAAATTAGGCCATGAATCAAAATTGGTGTTACGCCACCCATGTTTTAGCCACTCAGAAATATCATCTACTTATGACTTTAAAGGTGCATTTTGCCAAGAAAGACTCTTAAAAAAATCTCTTCCAAGAATATTAATAAAGATTTTAATCAGTACAAGATTAAAATTGAGGCATAATGAAATAGATGAAATGAAACTAAAATTCCATTTATAAAAATATAGAAGACAAAAAAGAACATTTGAGCCTAATAGAGGAAGAAGAAATAAAAAAAAAGTAAATATGGAGGAAAATGAGACAAAAGTCAGAAATTATTGGAGGGAGCTCTTTGACACTTTCTTTCTACTTGTGAAGCATAAACAGATTTATCCTAATGAATTAAAGGTGAAGTTTTAGCTCCCCATAAGCATGGTAGCATTTTTCTTAGGAGTGCAGCTGAAGAACAAGAATTTTATAAGAAAGAATTTACAACTGTGTGTAGTTACTTCCATTACTATAAACTTGAACCCCTAGGAAGGAGTAGGGCTGTCAGCCTCTTTGACAATCAGCCTCCATTCTTTTCCACCAGTCCACAGGGATCCTCCTGTGACAAGTTCATCAGCTGGAAATCTGCCTCCATCTTCCTTTCTCCTCAATAATTACTACCTTCTCTTTCACAACTATGTACTAAGATCTGTCAAAGGGACATAAGGAAACCAAGTGCAGGCTATCTCTTGACTCACTAGCTATGTTTAAGTTTATTAAAGGAGCACAAGGAAATGACAATATCTAAGTGTTTCTAAATGAGTCTGGACTTGCTTCTGTGACAGTAACCACAAATTTATACATAAAATTAACAGAAAATGGGAACCCAAATATTGAAGAAGTGTTGCAAGCACAGACTTTTCCTTCAAACTTTGGAAATCAATATGGTTTAAAGAAAATAAAACCCTGCATGGCTAAGGATGAGTTTCAGAGGTTTCTCTACCACAAGTCATTTGACTTCCTTGAACCTCAGTGTTCTTGTCAATGTAGATAATAACCACCTTTAGAAAGTTAGTACAATAGGCTGGGCGCGGTGGCTTACGCCTGTAATCCCAGCACTTTGGGAGGCCGAGGTAGGTGGATCACGAGGTCAGGAGTTCAAGACCAGCCTGGCCAAGATGGTGAAACCCTGTCTCTACTAAAAATACAAAAAATTAGCCGGGCGTGGTGGCACGTGCCTGTAATCCCAGCTACTCCGGAGGCTGAGGCAGAGAATTGCTTAAAACCTGGAGGGGCGGAGGTTGCAGTGAGCCGAGATGGCACCACTGCACTCCAGCCTGGGCAACAGAGTGAGCCTCCATCTCAAAAAAAAAAAAGAAAAAAGAAAAGAAAGTTGGTACAATAATGAAAAGAGAGAATATATATGTATAGGCTGTGGCCTATTATAGCAAACTATCTCATTATACTCTCTGCTTCTTTATTTGGAAAACAGATATCTTTAGAGCTGGACTTTGACATTGTATTTGCTAGATACTCTGTGCTAAGATCAGTACAAACAGTTCAAGTTAATGCAGCATACTTAGCTTTTGACAAACACATTATTTTATATTTGATTCCCAGTAGATCAAATGAATATTATATTTATTACAATATGAAGTTGAAAAAGTTTCTTACCAGTATCAGCTGAAAGATGTTCAAAGTGCATAATATATGCATATTACTTTGCTTTTCTTCTGCAAAGGTCTGTTTTATGAATCAAAATGACTAGTGCATAGCTGCAACATATAATCAAAGCTACTGTAAAGGTCACAAGTAAATGAGAACATAATTGTTTAAATATGTGGCTTTGTTAGTAATATACTTGATTATTTTATTACTGATTAGTGTTGTTTTAATTGTGGGGAGGGGAGTGTCGGAGGAGAGTAGGAAGATCTTTATCTCCTTTATGATAAACCTGACTTGGACTTTTAACCAAAACTCCAGGTGATGGAATATCGGCTTTCTTAAGCTCTTCTGATTAACTTTAACTTAATTAACATAAAAGTGATAAAATGGCCTGCTACATCTACCCTGTGTGCTGAATTCAGCCTGGAGATGTTTTCTTTGGGCAGCGCCAGATTTTAAAGATTGGAAAACGGCTGTAATTTTTGGACAGGTGTACGCTATCTGCTATCCTAAGTCCCCATCTCTCCACATTCTGTCTTACACCCAGCTGGCTTCATTTATTTATGTAAATTGCCTGGTCCTAGTGGGCATTGGAGTCTGTGGTTTCTGACTCAAGGCAAGGAGGAAATAAGCAAATAACTCAGGTATTTATTTTTGCATGACCCTGTCATTATGGAGTGGAAAGGGAGTTTCATTTTTATTATGAATACACACTATGAATGCTGATACTGCATTTGTGGCTTTGAAAAAAGTTCTGCCACTAAAATAATCTAAAAGGGGACTAGTTCTTACAACAATTTCTTCAAGTGCTTTGTTAAATAAGCAGTTAAAAGCAGACTAAAGGGCCACTGGATATTCAATTAGAGAGAGAGAATTTCTGTCACCCTGACTGAAGGAGGAAAATAAGGCCACCCTGGCAGGTGGAGACTTTTTATTTGCTGCCAGTGTGATTGCCCGCAAAGCTCCTGTGATTTGGTGCTTGCTACAGCACATCTCCCTATTTGCACATGCATGGAAACACTTTTTGTTGAAGCTACTTGACAACACTTAGTGTTTATTGTTTACTTGTCATTCTAAGAAACCACACACAGACTGTTTAGGTTACACCTAATGACAGTTTTTATTCATTTTACAGTTTAATGTTTATTTTTATTTAGCTTTTGTTATGGTTTAACAACTCCTTTCATTTAGTGGAATTGTAGACAAGTTTGAAATGTGAGTGTACCCATAAGACAAACACACATCATTACCTTTTCGTCTCCCGGTGTGCAGCCCTTTGTGAAATCTGCCAAGGAACAGTAGATGCTGATGTTTGGGTAATGGAGAAAGATGGCTTCAGAATGCCCAAGGATTTCATGGATATTTCTTTGAGAAGGCTTCTCCTGGAGATATGGGAGCCATGACATAGAGGAATTTAGGTGGTCTGCAAAGTTATAGGGCTATAATGAGATCTTTAGCAAGAGTATTTCTAAGAATATTTTTAAGTGCTTGGGGAAAACAAGCACTTAACTCCCTTTCCTCCCTAGTCCTTTGGCCAGGAAAATTATGCTGATTTCTAATCAGAAAGTAATCACCCATGGAAAGTCTGAGTATACACTGTGCATTCTATCCAAACTTCAAATTAACTGAAATTGAGAGAAAAAGGAATAAATGCTTTACATGGAATTTGTTATTAATTTGCATGACAAATAATTAAAAATATTAACCATACTTGGTTTACTTCTGCCTCAGTATCACAAGATGAACAGCAAAATAAGGGAGATTTTGTGTGCTTGCCTCCAAGTTTTAAGTTTTAAATATGGAGGAAAATATGGATATAAGTTTTAAATCCCATGCTAATCTCCATTAAGCTATAGGATGAAAATGGATGTGAGACAGGTTGCCACACATGTTGTATCCAAAAGGAGGTCACGGTACCCAAAGAAGAAAATAAAAATACACTTCAGGGGCAATCTGACTCCCAAGTAGAATGAAAGAAATATTGACATTGGGAGCTGAAAATTGTGGTTGTCGGACTGCGGAAATTTGAGATAGCATGATAATATTTTGCTGAGAGCAGGTGTTTGGGAAAATAACTAGGGCTTCCATAACTACTGGTACAAGTAGCAGCTCAGAGGAAGGAATGTCTCTAGGAAGGGGAAAGCTGCAGAAGAAATTGAAGCATAGGTCCATTAGGAGCTTTGCGAAGTCAGGGAGAACATAAGGCAGAGAAGCCCTAAGGTCACAGAGCCATCCTCGGTTCATAAGTGGCACCGGGAGATTTCATCAAAAGCAAATTGAAACAATGATCTGGTTTAAAATGAATATTGCCAGCTATTAGTTAATAGGGAATATTAGCTTTTTCATGTATTGCTAATTTGGGTGCACCAGGAAAACAGACTTGCCACATATCAAAGGTCTTTAAGGAGTTTTGTCGGTTTTTCAGTTTTAGTTACCTGTTTTCATTTTTCTTCCTATTTTTAACTAATTCTCAGGTCACTTTGACTTGCTCTGTTTGACTGTTTTTATAATTTTTAAAAAATACAAACTGGTTTCAAATGAATATTTTCAAAGATGAGCTTATGTTCTTAAACTTTTTCATTCTTGTGGGTGATCTTATCACTTTAAATATTATTTCTAATATGGCCAATAAGGCTTCTATCATAGCATAAGTAAATCCCAATAGTGAATGCTCCATGGTGAGGGTGGCCAGTGAAAGAGAAACTTATGGGGAAAGAACAAGGGTGAGTCAAAGAAAATATGCCTTTTGTGGATCATGAAGGTGGTGGTAAGAGAGGTCTAATAGGGGATTCTGAAGAACTCATGGGTATGCCTACAAAACATATAGATGCATGGCCCATAGAGTGGGAAGCCAGAATACTGCATTACTAAGCACCAGCCAAATAAGAGTCATTCCATTCAACTCCTTGACCTTTGTCCTCCTAATACCTGTGACCCAGATCAGACAATGAGAACAGCTAATGAGATGGGGAGAAGGTGAGAGAAGAAGGCAGGTGGCTTGCCAGTCTATAGGCTAAAGAGAAGGAAAAGTCTTCCTTTTGAATGAACACTGAAGGATTGGTTAATATGTTGAACTTTTGAGACTTTACATTTCTGAAGGAAGACTATGTTTTATTACTTAAAATGGTTATAGGATTTTCTATTACCTGAGTGTGAGCAGAGGAATCAGAAATCCTGCTGGAGTTATCATACAGTGGTATCGGGGAAATTTTTCACATGCTAAATAATATGTAAAGGGACTTTAGGAAACAACATAAAATTACATTTAATCATATCGTATGTGTGTTTAACATATTAGTTACAAAAGTAATTAAAAGAAAGAAACCTTCCTCAAACTGGTTGAAACACAGGAAATCTATTGGGTTATGTAACTGAACCATCCGGAGGTCAGTTTGGCATCAAGTAAGGCTTGAGTATTCAACCCTTTTGTTGGCTCCTGTGTGGCTGTAAGATGATTGTCAGAAGCTCCTAAAGCTACATCCTTTCTGTGGTTTGTCAGGCTGGAAAAAGAATTTATTTGTCCTAACATATTCAGAAAAAGTCCTGAGATTCAAACTACCTCTGTGGCCAGGAGTGTAGACAAGTTGATTGTTTAGCTTGGGTCACAGGTCAGAGGGTAAGATCATCTTCCCTGCAACCACACCAGGCCCTAAATGGAAATCATTGCATTGGCAAGGGAGACATGAATAATGAATCCCAAGAGACAAAAGAAAATACCTGTAAAAACTTAATCTTTATAGGAACCTTGTGAATTAGGTAATATTTCCCCACTTTTCAGATGAGAAAATTTTCCCAAAGGCAAATATTTTGTAAGTAGTGATTTTAGAATAAATTCAGGTCATATTAACTTTGAACCACAAAGTCACTCTATTTTACCACATTGCCTATGTAGCATAAATTAAACACATACAAGGCTATCTAATCTATATCAGGAAAGGGTTTTATAATTTTTCTTCCATAAATTTCAGGCTATAAAATAAATTAATGAGAAGCTTAAGAGTCTTGAAATGACAAATAAATACTTCTAGAAACTGAAAGTCCTATAAACCATAAGTAAGAAGAATTTTACTTAAATTTTGAAAATTTTAGCAAGGTTCTTTTATTGTTGCTTATGGAAAACTCAAAAGAAATATATGTAACTTAAGAGCAAAGCTCCTGTTGATTTTAGAATTGTCTGGTTATCTCAGGTGCCACATGTAATATTTGTGCTTTAAAAAAAAATGTAGCTTGGACTGTATATAGCAAGTTATAAAGCTTAGGAACTCAAAGAAAAGAGAAGATCCTAACTGTAAAATGAGTGGAGAATTCAAGAGCTGTTAGCATTATGAATGGGAGCTATTATCTGAAAAAATATTGGTGCAGGAGGTTTAGACTGGGACATTAAAACAAATCGTTGTCCTGGGCATTGAAGTTAAATAAGGGGGCATGATAATGAAGTTTCATTGTCTTGAATCTGTGGGAAATAGATATTTCAGGTCTATGAGCTCACAAGCATTTAATGCTGTAGGACGGTACCTTGATGAGACTCCTTTGGGGAAAAGGTAACTGAGCAAATTATGTTCGTGGTACATTGGCATATCTTATAACCCACTTCTTATTTTAGAAATGTTTAATATTATTAATTTACCTAAATGCCATGGGAGACAGATGCTCAGAGATTTGCTAATTGCCCAAAGAGTTATATTCTAAAACTGGAAACCCCAGGTGGTCCCACCTCAATTCTGAATGGCAAGAAAGGAGTCTTGCTGCTGTTCTCTTCCATTATCCAGCAGAGCTGAGAAAAGCTGAAATGCTTGGTCACTTTTTTTTCCAGCCAGCTCTAGCCTTGCTTCTTCAGGAATCATGTCGTACAAGATTCAAATTGAGTGGCTGAACAAAGACAGCAGGGGTTTTAGAAAAATCAAGATTGATTCTTTCATATTTAACAACCTTCTTACAGCTAAGTCTCTAAATTGACACTTAAGCAGGGGCGGGGGAGCCTATAAGAAACAGAATATACGTATAAACATAAAATAAGCCTATGAATAAAATAGGTCTATTTTAATCAAATTTCTTTCAAGAGGAGCCCCATTTTTTACTTCTTTAACTCCCCTCTCTTCTCATTAGGAAAGAAAACAAGTCACGACTTTAGTATTGTGATATCTATCTGTCCACCTTACAAATGTTTTACAAATGCTGTAAACGTAAATCTGGGAAACTGAGGAAGTAATCAGTTTAAATTCTGTGGAAAATATAAATTTTATTCTGCAAGTTGGAATCATCCTGAAATGTTGAAGTCTTAGGGAACTCAACATCTTTAGGGCCTTTAAAACTAATATACTTTTAGGGACACAGACATATTTACTGAAATACATAACACAGAAAATAAAGTTCTTTGCCTTGCTTTACACCCTGGAGTGTGATAAATTTTGTGGGTTGTGGAATAAGCCAGTCCCCTGGTTTCTTAGAGGATTTAGTTCAGTACCAGATATCATTGGAATTTTAGTAGCAGCTTTTTGGCCTTTAGAATGACCATTTGTTTTGTAAAGCACATGATGTAAACTCTGAAATGTTATTAATATCTTTAACCATTTCCTATAATTATTTCAACAACTTAAAGGAAAATTCTTGTTTTAAAAGATCACTTTTCTGGTGAGGGATAATTTATAGCCAATGTATAACTCAACAGGAAGTCAAGAGAGCAATCACCAAGAGGAATGAGATAGGCAAGTTTCCCCAAACTAACACATAAAAGGATTTCTTGGGAGCTAAACTCAGCAGTAAAAGAATACGTGCAGGATTAGTCATACTGGATTTAGAGGCTTCAGCCCTACCATTCTTTCTTCCTAGAAGAAACGCCTAGTGTTCTATAGGAAAATAAGAAAGCCTCAGAATATATCTCAGGATATATTCTACCAGTTGTTTCCTTAAAGAAAGAGGATTGTTTGAAAAAATTTTGGGTGGGGACATGGTGGTATAGGAAAACAGAAAAAAAATATGCACTGAATCGTTAGGTCTCCATCATTGGTTAACATTTAATTTTTATGGCTATGAACATTAGGGCAAGAAATGATCAAGTCCTCAATCATTTTTAGATACAGGAATTATCACTGTGTTTCTCCTCAATAATTTTAGAAAATATTTCGATAGGAAATGTCTCCATTTTCATCATCTTCTGTAACCTATAAAACATAGAGCTCTAGAATGTAGACTCTTCATTTATTTTTAGAGGCAATGCTAGCTTGGGCAGAACTAGGAACTGAGCTGGGTTGGAGCTACTTTGAGTCCATCTTCTTTCCAGCTCAGAGGTCGTCACAATGTCCACCAGATTCCATACTGGCCCTGGGAAGAGCATCACAGAAGCTATCAGTGGAGAGGCTGGGTCCTACTCTCACCTTCATAGGTAATTCAAAATAAAAGTTTAGCTTTTAAAAGGACACTGCTTAAACTGATATGGAAATGAATATAGTTTCCTTCCAGTTGTTTTTTAGTTTTCGAAATTCTGGATAAGTTCATTAAAAACGTACCTGCTTTTCTTTTTGGTTTTGTTCCTCCAATCCTGTGCTTGGCTGAGAACCTAAACCTGTGAGGAGTCTGCTTGTTGGGCAATCCAGCACTGGTTATGCAGCAGAAGCTTCTATTGCATTTTCCTTTGATCTTCTAAATCCCAAACCCATTTAACAAAAATAATCAGAGCTCGTGTATGCTTTACAAAAACTTGTTTGTCTTCGCTTTACTACTCAGTTGAGTTTCTAAAGCAAATATATTTCTCAACTGCATTTTAATTTTTCTGATCATTTCTGTTTTTATTGGCTAATGCACAAATTCATGTTTACTAAAAATCACTGCATTCCCAATGCTATTGAGTAAAGAGGATTTCATAACATCTCTGATTTTACATGGATCAAACAACAAATTTGAGATTCATCACTGTCTAAAAATCTTTATCACTTAGACTCCCCTTACTCTAACATCATTCTTTCTGTCATACTATCAAATATTTCACCATTTCCTCTTTGCTCCAAAGGCACTAGGTGGAGCTAAACCTGTCCTCTACTGTCTTACTTTAGTTATTTGCCGTGATTTTACTGTGTTAATTCTCACTGCATGTTGAACATGCTCACTCTTCAGAATGGTCTGAGATATCAAGAATTTGCTCTCAACAACATCTGCAGTTATTTTGATTTACTTAGGACATTAATCCTCATGTTTTCTTCAATACCAAGTATGTAGAATTTTTTAGTTGGAGTTTTTTCAAGCCACATAATTGTTTGAACTTTTTGCTTTTTTGCCCTGCTCATATCTTTTAAGAGATGTCAAAGTAGAGAGAATTGTAGATACAACCAGTCCTCACCAAAGACAAGAAAGTCTGATGCCAATTCACAGTACAGAGTTCTAAAGCTGATGGAGGTCCTGAAGAATGGGTGTACCTTAATAACAAAAAGCCCCTAGGAATGAGTCTGGTGAGTGATATAAGAGGAAAACAAGGAAATTCACTGAAGTCAAAATCCCAAATTTGAGAATCTTGAAACTAAGAAAAGTTGTAGGAACTTTTTCAAGTCCCATGAGACTCATGTTTTCAAAAACAAAAGAGACTTCCAAGAATGTTTCATAGAATTTCTGACTTTTGAAAATGAGAATATAATTAATTTTAGACCAATTATATTTCAAAGATTCTTTTGAAGAGGCTTGAGAGATTCAGATTGGAAATTAATTTATAAACTCCACTCCCAAATGGTACCACCATCACTGTTCCCTCCCTGGTGTTCTGGATTATGGGACACATGAAAATCAAGGGCTGACAGCCACGGTGTTGCCAGGGACACAAGGACTGATATACAGAAAATACATGCAGGAAGAACTGGTGGTTTCAGTGCCTGCCACCACTAGAGATTTATTTCTCTGAGACATGAAGGCTTTTCTTTAAATCGTAGAATCTTAGGAGTGAAGGGAACCACAGAAGTGAGCCCAATACCACCATTTTATATATTAACAAATGAGGTATAACCAGTTAATTTGTTCAAAGTCACAGTTAGTGTGCTATTTCACTTGGACTGGAAATGAAGTCTCTTATAACCCGCTACTATTAGTTATGACTGAAATCTAACAAAAAGGAAATTTTTTGAAAGAATGCTGGGTGTCTTAGCCAGAGTTTCCTCGAAAGTAGAGGCTGACATGAAGGATTCTTTATAGGGTATCTGAGACTGTGATGCCAGGGAACAGTAGTACAGGACAGGGGGAATAAAACAAGGAAGGAGAAAAAGCCAATCAAGGGAGATTTATAAAGTTGGCCATCCTAACTTGCACCAGAGAATTGGATGACTGCTGTTCGATCTCTCTGAGACCTCTGGAAACACTTATAAAATACATCTTGAGGTCAAAAGGAGAAAGTCTTTATCCAGCAGCTCCCATGGTTCAGCAGTGGCTCAATTAGCATTAAATCCCTTATACTTCCATAATCTACATACAAAACTGTGGAACAGATTCCCACACTGTAACATCTGAGACACTTCCAGGTGGTAAGCAGTAAGTACAGAGCTTGGGCCTTTGGTGAGATACCATATAAATGTACCCTAAATAAGTTGATGCATGCTTGCACAAAATTAATGGCCACAGCATGGCTGGTTGAGGAAGTTGGGTCAGGAGGATTCTGCAGGACAGAACATAAAAGATGTTTTCTGGACTCCAAAGAGAGCTAACAGCAGTAGGAAGGGCAGGAAAACTGCTTGGCCCCTTTCTCCACTCCTTTCCCCGCAATAAGTCATGTGGAATCAGTATCTCTAATGTTTCTCAAACTCTTTCTGTCCTTAATCTCTATATATTCTTCTTTCTCCTGGAAAGCTAGATTTTTCCATATGATGTAAACATAGTCACCTATGCTTATTAAGTTTATGTTATACAGCTTTATTCCAGAAGAGAAATTTCCCTGCATCTCTCTGTCTCAACTTAAAAATTCTCAAGAATGGGTATTGGCCTAGCCAAGGACAAGTGGTGTTGCCTGGATCAAAAGTCAAGATTATATAGGGCGTAGGAAGTGTAGGTAGAGTAGAGGGGAAGGCAGTTGTCAAAAAAGAAATGTAGTACATAGTAAGTGGACAAAATAGTATGTCCATACTACACTAGAAATGATATTATATTTGGAAGGAATAATACAAAATTAACATCTTGGTGGGAATTCTCCAAGCTTAGATGGCCTCTAAAACAGGGATTGTCTTCTAACACAGAATAGTCTCCCAGGGAAAGGGAAATCATACTATGATGGGAGATAAGACCATTTTTTCCTATTTTACAATTAACCTTAGGTTTATCTCTTAAATCAATCTTCCTAAAAACTGAATATGCAGGCAATAAGATGCAATATTAAGTACAAAAAATTTTTTCAAATCGTTGCTTAACACTTTTCTAAAAAGAAGAATCACTGTAGATTTCTTCTGTCTTCTGGTTGCAGTATTTATTGTAGTTATTTTCTTCGTAAAGTACAATTCATCTGGAGATGACAAGAAAGAAATAAAACTTACAACATGACAAAAATTTTGATGTATGTGCTCTCATCAGAAAATGCAAAGTCAAATGGGGGGTTTCAAGAGGGCTGACTAGGGCCTCCCAACACTCACCTCCTTTACAAAGAAGAACCAAAACAGCAAATAGATAAGCACACATAGAATAGATTAAGAAATAACACTAGAATTCAGTAAGAAAGTGACAGGGAATATCTGAGACATGGAAAGAGATGGAAGTGAAGCACCTGTCCTGGCCAGGGTTGGCTGGGAGCCAAGAAAGGGTCTCTAGTGTTGGAAAAAGGTAAATGAGGGAATCCCAGTGGTCCACATTCCCACCATGGACTCTGGCAATCCTAGCAGCAAGAGAGTCCCTTGGCCCTTGCAGACCCAGAGACTAGGATAGGGAGCTTCCAGAAGTTCACAGAATTACATCGCTTTAGAGAGGGAGTTCATACTTGGTCCCAACACACCCCCTGAGACCCAAACAGATAGTACAGCACCATTTTGAGAGCCCAGTCCCCACCAGACTACATCCTGCCCTAGGGCCCAAAAGCCCCTGAATCTCCACAGTCCTGGAACTCCACTGACATCCCTCCACCCATCTAGAGAACTGAAGCATCATGACACCAGCTGGACCCAACACAGCTGAGTCCCCAGCACTTTAGCCCATGCAGTGTCCTACACCCTGGGAAAAGGGAGGCGCAGCCCACCAGGAAGGCTGCTGCTGGGACAAATAGAGACAAAGTGCACACTCCCTAGAGTCTGAGAGCTGCCTTCCAGGGGTCACAGCCACTGACAGCAACCCCAAGTGCCCCTCCAGCAGCAGGGCTACCATGTACCTCCATGCACCTTCAGTGGGTCAAGGAAATAGCCTACAGGTACACCATCCCTGGGATTGAAGACAGGTTCATCCTGCCCAGCAACACCTCAGTCAGTGCCTGAGCAAGTTGCTTGGTGACCTGAGGATCAACCTACCCTACCTGCCATTTTTGGTATGCATGCGTACCACCAGGAGGCCTAACAACAGACCCAGCAAGCCTGCTACCAGTGCCTGAGTGCTTTCTGTAGGCCTGAGGATCAACCTCTTTGACTGCCACCACCAACACCTGTGCACTTCTCCCAAGGGCCTGAGGATGGGCCCATCAGCCTGCCACTACCACCACCATCAATACCCGCCCCCATGTGAAACCTGAGGGCCTGGGAACTGGCCTACCCAACCCACCAACACCATTGCTTGTTCTCCTACATGCTGCCTGGGGGCCTGACAGTTGGCTCACCACTGCTACTGCCATTGCTGATACCACGCACACCACCTAGGGCCTCAAGGACTATCTCACCTTCCTGAGTGCTGCTGCCACTTTCAGCATCCAAGTAAGCTTTTTGGAGGCCCAAAGATAGGCCTGCTTCAACCTGCTAACACCAATGCTTGCATACATCACCAAGGGTTTCAAGGATGGGCACATTTGTCCTGTTGACATCACCACTGGAGCACAAAGACTGATCCACTTGGTGTTCTTATCCCCAGCAAAACCTCACTGTGGCCTCCACTAGCAAATGCAGCCTAAGCCATTGAGGAACTAAGAGACACCACTGATGCTGATTATAGTTGAAGAAGTCATATGGAGAATACACTAATATGTACACCCAGAATAAAAACTAAGGTGCCCTACCAAACCAACATTATAAACATATATATACGAAAAAGTCTTGCCTTATGAAAGCCAATCCAAAAAAAAAAAATGGAAGATGTGAGTAAATGTGCAGATATTAACATAAGAACATAAGAAACATGAGAAAACAAGAAAACATGACACATCCAAAAGAACACAATAATTCTCCAGCAACAGATTTCAATAAAAATAAATCACTAAATTCCCAAAAGAGAATTCAAAATAATATTAAAGAAGTTAAGTGAGATACAAGAGAACACAGATCAAACAATACAAAGAAATCAGAAAAACAATCCATGATCTGAATGAAAAATTCAACAGAGATATGTATCATAAAAATGAACAAAACAGAAAATCTTGGACTGAAAAGTCCAATAACTAAAATAAGAATACAAATGACAGCTTCAACAATAGACTAGATCTAGCCGAAAAAATAATTTGTGAACTTGAAGACAGTTCTTTTGACATAATCTGGTCGGAGAAAAAAAAAAGAATAAAAAGAATGAACAGAGCCCATGCGATGTAAGGGACACCATAATGCAACCAAATATTTAATTTTTAGGTATTCCAGAAGGAGAAGAGATGGAGAAAGACAGAGAACCTATTCAACACAGTAACATTTGAAAACTTCCCAAGTCTTGCAAAAGATATAGATACTCAGATAGAGGAAGCTCAAAGAGCTCCAAATATATTGAATCCAAAAACGGTTTCTCCAATGCACATTATAGTCAAACTGTTAAAAGTGAAAGACAAAAAAAAAAAACTATAAAAACAGCAATAGAAAAGCATCAAGTCAC
Organism: Homo sapiens; assembly: GCF_000001405.40. Lineage (NCBI taxonomy): Eukaryota > Metazoa > Chordata > Mammalia > Primates > Hominidae > Homo > Homo sapiens. Next base: position 87,839,709 of record NC_000005.10, on the reverse strand, counting down.
ATATAAGGGAACCCCAATCAAAAATAGCAAATTTCTCAGCATAAACCTTAAAAGCCAGGAGAGAATGAGATGACATATTCAATGTGCTGAAAGAAAAAAACCTGACAGCCAATAATACTATGTCCAGCAAAGCTATTCTTGAAAGGTGAGAGAGAAATGAAGTCTTTCCCAGATAAGAAATATCAGAAAATTCATCACCATCAGACCAGCCCTACAATAAATGCCTATGGGAATCTTACATCTGGAAGCAAAAGGACTAGATCTAACATCATGAAAACACACAAACAGATAAAACTCCCTGGTAGAGCAAACACACAAATGATAAAGATAGGAGACTTAAATGTTACCAATGCAAAAAAAAAAATAAAATAAAAAAGCAATGATAACAATAAGAGAGAAATGAACAAAGTAAAATACAAGAAAACCAACAAACAATTAAAAAGAGAACAAGAATAAGTCCTTACCTACCGATAATAACCCTGAATGTAAATAAATTACATTCCCCATTTAAAAGATATAGACTTAGTGAATGGATAAAAAGAATGTAACTCAACCATACGCTGCCTACAAGAAACTCGCTTCATCTATAAAGACACATATAGACTGAAACTGAAGGGATGGGAAAAGATATTCCATGCAAATAAAAACCAAAAGCAAGAAGGAGTAGTTACACATATTTCAGAATAAACAAACTTTAAGTCAAAAGCAGTCAAAAGAGATGAAGAAAGTAAATATATAATGATAAAAGGATCAATATAGCAAGAGGATATAACAATACTAAATATATATGCATCCAACACTGGAGCACCTAGATCTACAAAGCAAATATTATTATACCTAAAGGGAGAGAGAGACTCCACCACAGCAATAGTTGGAGACTTCAGCACCCCACTCTCACCATTGGACAGATCATCCTCTAGACAGAAAATCAATAAGGAGACATTGGATTTAAATTGTGCTATATACCAAACAGATATTTACAGAGCCTTTCATCCAAAAGCTGCAGAATATACATTCCTTTTATCAGCACATGGAACATTCTTCAGATTAACCATAAGTTAGGCCATAAAATAAGTCTCAATAAATTTTTAAAAATCAAAATCATATGGAGTATTTTTTTCAGGACTACATCTAGAAATCAATAACAAGAGGAAATTTGGAAACTGTATGAACACATATGAACACATGGATATTAAACAACATGCTCCTAAAGGACCACTGGGCCAATGAAGAAATTCAGAACAATTTTTTTTTTAAATCTTGAAACAAATTAAAATGTAAATATAACATACCAAAACTTATGGAATATAGAAAAAGCAGTGCTAAAAGAGAAGTTTATGGCAAGAAATGCCTACATTTAAAAAGTAGAAATACTAACCCAACAATGCAACTCCAAGAACTAGAAAAGCATGAAAAAGTCAAACTCAAAATTAGTAGAAGAAATAATAAAGTTTAGAGCAGAACTAAACAAAATAGAGACTAAAAGATTGCAAAGAATCAAAAAAATGAAAAGTTGTTTCTTTTAAAAATACACAAAATTGGTGAAATGCTAGCTAGGCAAACCAAGAAAAAAGATAGAAAGCCAAAATATACAAAATCAGAAGTGAAAAAGAAGACATAACAATAAATACCACAGTAATACAAAGGTTCATCAGAAAGTATTTATTATAAACAACTGTATGCTAACAAACTGGAAAACCTAGAGGAAATTGATAAACTCCTGGACACACACAACCCACCAAGATTCAACCAGGAAGAAATAGAAAACCTGAACAAACCAATAATAAATAGTGAATCAATTCAGTAATTTAAAAAATTTCCCATTAAAGAAAAGCCCAGGATTTAATGGTTTTAGTGCTGAATTCTACCAAACCTAAAAATGATAACCAATACCAGTTCTTCTCAAACTAATCCAAAAGGTGGAAGAGAATTATTTCTAACTCATTCTGTGATGTGAGCATTACCCTGATATCCAAACCAGACAAGACCATAACAAAAAAAGAAAGCTACAGGCCAATATCCCTCAGAAAAAGCATTTGATAAAATTCAACTGTTTCATGATAAATACGCTCAACAAATTAGGAATAGACGGAACATACCTCAACATAATAAAGGCCATGTGTGACAAGCCCAAAGCTAACATTATACTGAATAAGGAAAAACTGAAAACCTTTCCTCTAAGAACTAGAAGATAAGAATGCCTACTTTCATCACTCCTATTTAACATAGTACTGGAAGATCTAGCCTGAGCAATCAGGCAAGAGAAAGAAACAAAAACATTCAAATTGAAAAAGAAGTCAAATTGTTTTTCTTTGCAGATGAAATAATCTTATATCTAGAGAAATCTAAAGATTCCACCAAAAACCTCTTAGAACTGATAAACATATTGAATACAATTGCAGAATGCAAAATCAACGTACAAAAATCAGTAGCATTTCTATACATGAATGACAAACTAGCTGAAAAAAAAATTGAGAAAGCAAAATCATCTTAAATACTACAAAAAAAAAAATACCTAGGAATAAATGTAACCAAGGTGTTGAAAGACCACCACAAGGAAACCTACAAAACATTGATGAAAGACATTGAAGAGGACAAAAACAAATGGAAAAACTTCCCATGCTGATGGATTGGAAGAACTGATATTGTTAAAATGACCATAATACCCAAGCAATCTATACATTAAATGCAGTTTCCATCAAAATACCAAAGACATTCTTCACACAAAAAATTTTTTTTGAATCTTCTTTTTTATCATACTTTAGGTTCTGGGTTACATGTGCAGAACGTGCATATCATCTGCAAACAGAGACAATTTCACTTCCTCTTTTAAAATGGAACTCTTATACACTGTTCTTGGGAATGTAAATTAGTACAGGCACTATGGAAAATGGTATGGAGGTTTTTCAAAAAACTAAAAATAGAGCTACCATATAATTCAACAATTCCACTACTAATTAGTTATCTAAAGGAAAGGAAATCAGTATATCAAAGGGATGCCTGCACCCTGGTGTTTTTGCAGCACTATTCACAATAGCCAAGATATGGAATCAACTTAAATGTTCATCAGTAGATAAATGGATAAAGAAAAATGTAGTATATATACATGATGGAGTATTATTCAGGCATAAAAAATGAAATCATGTTATTTGTAGCAAAATGGATAGGACTAGAGGTCATTATCTTAAGTGAAATAAGACACAGAACCAGGGAAACAAATTGATATGGGTTGGCTGTGTCCCCACCCAAATCTCATCTTGAAGTGTAGCTCCCACAATTCCCACATGTCATGGGAGGGACCCAGTTGGAGGTAAATGAATCATGGGGGTGCGTTTTTCCCATGGTGTTCTCATAATAGTGAATAAGTCTAATGAGACATGATGGTTTTATAAAGGGCAATTCCCCTGCACAAACTCTCTTGCCTGCCACCATGTAAGACATGCCTTTACTCTTCCTTTGCCTTCTGCCATGACTGTGAGGCCTCCCTAGCCATATGGAACTATGAGTACATTAAACCTCTTTTTATTTATAAATCACCCAGTCTTGGGTGTTTCTTCATAGCAGTATGAAAATGGACTAATACTGTAAATATTGCATGTTGTCGTTCATATGTTAGAGCTAAATAAGTTGATGTTATGGAGGTAGAGAGTAGACAGAAAGTTACCAGAGGCTGTTGTTGGAGGGGAGGATGAAGAAAGTTTGGTTAAGGGGTAAAAACATACAGTTAGGTAAAAGGAATAAGTTCTAGTGTTGGATAGCACTTTAGGGTGACTATAGTTAACATCAACATATGATATATTTCAAAATGGCTAGAAAAAAACACTAAAGTCTTCCCAACACAAAGAAATGATGTGTCCAAGGTGATGTCTAGCCTAAATGCCCTGATACGATCATTACACATTGCATGCATAATCACACGTAACCCATAAATATATGCATGTATTATATATTAATTAAAAATTAAAAACCAAGAAAATGAAAAGTCAAATAGAGATTTCAGCACTTGAAGTGTACAGAGTACTTGCTGCCTATAATCTGAATGCATAATTTATCCCCAGGTAATAGCAAATATTCTCTGAGCTCTTACCATGTGCTTCATGTTTTGCATATGTTCATTTACTCAATCTTCAGAACCACTCTGTGAGATAGAGGCTATTTTTCTTCTATTTTTCCAGTTGAAGAAATGGAAGAAAAGAGAAGTGATATGCTCTAGTTTTAACAACTAGTAAGTGATAAATCTGGGATTCAAATCCAGTCAGTCTGGTTACAGAGCTTGGTTTTATTTTTTTTAAACCTACTCGCTATGTTGCCTTTGTGATAATTTACAAAATTAACTTTAAAGACACTACTCTGCACCACTACCTTAAAAAGGAAAAATGACCTTCATTCTGATGAGTTTTTTATTGAAGATTTATTTTTGTGTTGCTTGAGTTGTCCTGACCTCTACCTTTACAATGATATCTATGTAAAATGATATCTATATAAAAATGTTAGCAATGTCATGTTGGTACATGCCATTTCCAGATTTTGAGATAAATTATAGTAATATCATTTTCCATATTTTTCACAGAGATGAATACTACAAAGTTAATTTTTGACAGTTAACAAACAAAAAAATAACAAAAATAAAAGACAGCAAACCTGATCACTAGGATTCAGCAAAGTACATGGGAAAAGAAGATTTAAAATATTTTCCACTGAATATATGGTAGAAACAAAAAATCTTATTTATGCTGTTTATACTCATAAAATTCTCCCCATAACTTGTTAGATATTAGATACAAGTCTTCTGATCTCGTGTTCTTGAGATCATTAAATTCAAGTAATACCTATTAAATTAAGAACTATCATTCAAGAAATATACTGAGGGGATTAGCATAAACTTAAAACACTGGTTGCTAGAGAAAAAAATTGTAGACCTCCTTTACCTTTATTAACCACTAAATTACACAAACACCTACATGCATACATTTTCATGTGTGTGAGTGCACACGTGTGTTTAGTGGAGAATTGTGTCCCCTCTTCTTTCAGGTTTCCCTTCTAAACTCTGTTTCCCAGAAACACTGGGGCTATATGAGAACAGCCTTTATGTATATGATGCTCAATACACCCTGCCCAAGCACACTGCACTGTATCCAGGGAGTGGCTATGGTACAAACTAGGGCTATATCATATTATCTGTTGGTTCCCATCTTCCAAGATTAATGAAGAGACAGAATCTGCATTCAAAAAGATAAATAACTATAATACTAATGACATTCTAAATTCTGAATGAATGATGCTTACAACAAGAGCTGTAAAAGTCATGGATAGACTAATTTCTTACAGTTGTAGTAAAGCAATTAGGTATTGGGGTGTGATGGTAACAGAAGAAATGGGAAAAGTGGAATCTAGATACCTAATTGTTAGGGTCTTCTTTACTACATGAATGTTTTCCCCCAGTAGAACGTTGCCTGAATTTTAAACATCCTCTTTGATCTAATGTTTTTGGGAGATTTTGAGGTTGAAATAGTTAATTTATCATAGTTTGTGCCAAATTTGGCATTATCACAGTTGAAATTAAAGCATTTCAGTTTAAAAGAAGATTTTATTTTTGGTTGTGAAGTGGGAGCAACTTATTACAGGTTGTTCTTTGCAGCATAGAACAGGAGGGACAAAGAGAAAGCTGTGAGTATCTAATGAAGCAAAAATTTCCATATCCTTTTGGTGAGTGCTGTAAGAGCTGAGTAAAAAACTGTGGTTCTCTTTTCATAGTCAGGGCAAGAGACTGAGAATTAGTGGGAAAATTGAGAAAAGTGGCTTTGCTCTAGAAATTCAGTAATGAAATAGTGCCCAATAATGATAATAATTAAATGTGTTGAATACATAATGTGTACAACTGACCATATACCAGGCCTTGAATATTGCCTTTCTTAACAGCTTGGGTGGGAGTGAGGGCAGGGGGAATAGAGAAAGGTTCTGACTGGCAAACAGCTGCCCAGATTTAATATAGAAATTTACTGTCTTATAATGATAAAAATATATAAAAATATAAAATTCTACTTGTGCCTGGCTAATGTTACTATCACTTTACCTCAGAAAATTGCATTTATTAATTAGAGTAAATGTTGTGTTTCTATTTAAAAGGATACCATACTATCTTGAACAAATAAAAGTTTAGTTATATCTAATGTGCCAGGCTAGTCTAGAATGGCGGTGTAGATGTTCTGTATAACCTTTTAGGCTGGTGGGTTACTTTTATTACGCGCCTCCATCATCATTTGCAAAGTTGAGATTTGGATTATTGGCTCAGAAACAGTCTTATTCATGGAAATAAGAGCCAAAGTCCAGGAAAGCCAACTTGTCTTCAAGTTAGCAATGATCCAGAATTTATACACATCATCTCCACTTACATCCCATTAGCTGAAACCTAGGAACATTGGCACTTCTATACATTCTAGCTGGAAACTTACATAAGTGGCTAGAATAGTGCCTGGAACTTCATAAGTAATCTGTAAGAGTTAGCTACTGTTATTATTATGATGAATATTATTATATCAAATCCCATTTGCTGGAGAGTTGAAAATGTATCTGGGCAGTTGAATCAAGGGCTCAATTTGTGTTTTATCCTGACATTGAAAGATTTAAGGTAATTTTCCAAGACTGGACAACTGACCTTCCCCTTTCACTTCTGTTCTTCCCAGTCTTCCCCATCTGTCCTTTCCCTTTTCAGTCTAGAACCTTTGTAATTATCTTTATTTTTTCTCACATCCCAAATGCAATCCACTAGTAAATCCTATCTCTTTATCTACAAAAAATATTCAACACCATCTACCAGAATCAGTATGGATTCATCATGCTATGTGTTAAAAACCCAGCCCTTCCCACTCAAGGGGAGCTGAAATACCTGTAAGAGAGAGAAGTTTAAGTGTGCCATGAGATACATGCATCCAGGCTTCCTATTCCAGGTCAAATTTGGGGAGCAGCATTGAATGCAGTTGGGGAATGATATGGTTTGGCTGTGTCCCCACCCAAATCTCATCTTGAATTCCCACATGTTGTGGGAGGAATCTGGTGGGAGATTATTGAATCATGGAGGCAGGACTTTTTCATGCTGTTCTTGTGATAATGAATAAGTCTCATGAGATCTGATAGTTTTAAAAATGAGAGTTTCCCTGCACAAGCTCTCTTCTCTTGTCTGCCACCATGTGAGACATGCCTTTCACCTTCCACCCTGATTGTGAGGCCTCCCAGCCACGTGGAACTGTGAATCCAATAAACCTCTTTCTTTTGTAAATTGCCCAGTCTCTTGTATATCTTTATCAGCAGTGTGAAAATTGACTAATACAGTAAATTGATACCAGGAGAGTGGGGCAATGCTGTAGATACCCAAAAATGTGGAAGTGACTCTGGGACTGAGTAACAGGCAGGGGTTGGAACAGTTTGGAGGGCTCAGAAGAAGAAAGGAAAATGTGGGAAAGGTTGGAACTCCCTCGAGGCTTGTTTAGTGGCTTTGACCAAATGCCAGATAGTGATATGGTTAATGAAATCCAGGCTGAGTGGTCTCAGATGGAGATGAGAAACTTTTGGGGAACTGGCGCAACAGTGACTCATTATGTTTTAGCAAAGAGACTGGCAGCATTTTGCCCTGCCCTAGAGATTTGTGGAACTTTGAACCTGAGAGACATGATTTATGGTATCCGGTGGGAGAAATTTCTAAGCAGCAAAGCATTCAAGAGGTGACTTGGGTGCTGTTAAAGGCATTCAGTTTTATAAGGGAAGCAGAGCATAAAAGTTTAAAAAATTTGCAGCCCAATAATGCAATAGAAAACAAAATCCTATTTTCTGAGGAGAAATTCAAGCCAGCTGTAGAAATTTGCATAAGTAACTAGGAGCCCAATGTTTATCCCCATGACAACGGGGTATGTCTCAGGGCATGTCAGAGGTCTTTATGGCAGCTCCTCCCATCACAGGCCCACAGACCTAGAAGGAAAAAGTGGTTTTGTAGGCCGGGCCTAGGGTCCCCATGCTGTGTGCAGTGTAGGGACTTACTTGGTGACCTGTGTCCCAGTCACTCCAGCCATGGCTGAAGGGGCCAACATAGACCTCAGGCTGTGGCTTCAGAGGGTGTAAGCCTCAAGCCTTGGCAGCATCCACATGGGGTTGAGCCTTCCAGTGCACAGAAGTCAAGAACTGGGGTTTGGGAACCTCTGCCTAGATTTCAGAGGATGTATGGAAATGCCTGGATATCCAGGCAGAAGTTTGCTGCAGAAGCAGGCTCAATGTGAAGTCAGATCCCCAAACTGAGTCCCTAATGGGGCACTGCCTCTATGAGAAGAGGGCCTCATCTTCCAGACCCCAGAATGGTAGATTCACCAACGACTTGCACCCTGCACCTGGAAAAGCCACAGACATGCAATGCCAGCCTGTGAAAACAGCCGAGAGGGAGGCTGTACTCTGCAAAGCCACAGAAGCAGAGTTGGCCAAGGCCATGAGAACTCACCTCTTGCATCATTGTGATCTGGATGTGAGAAATGGAGTCAAAGGAGATCATCTTGGAACTTTAAGATTTGACTGCTCTACTGGATTTCAGACTTGCATGGAGCCTGTAGCCCCTTTGTTTTGGTCAATTTCTCCCATTTGGAATAGCTGTATTTACCCAATGCCTGTATCCCCATCGTATCTAGGAAGTAACTAATTTGCTTTTGATTTTACAGGCTCACAGGGAGAAGGGACTTGCCTTGTCTCAGATAAGACTTTGAACTATGGACTTTTGAGTTAATGCTGAAATGAGTTAAGGCTTTGAGGGACTGTTGGGAAGGCATGATTGGTTTTCAATAGTGAGGGCATGAGATTTGGGAGGGACTGGGGTGGAATGGTGTGGTTTGGCTGTGTTCCCACCCAAATCTCATCTTGAATTCCCACATGTTGTGAGGGGGACCCAGTGGTAGATAATTGAATCACTGAGGTTGGTCTTTCCCATGCTGTCCTTGTGACAGTGAATAACTTTCATGAGATCTGATGGTTTTAAAAATGGGAGTTTCCCTGCATAAGCTCACTTCTCTTGTCTGCTGTCATGTGAGATGTGCCTTTACCTTTTGCCATGATTGTGAGGCCTCCCCAGGCATGTGGAACTGTGAGTCCAATAAAGCTCTTTCTTTTGTAAATTGCCCAGTCTTGGGTATGCCTTTATCAGCAGCATGAAAACAGACTAATATGGTAAATTGGTCAAGTAGATAGAAACATCCAGAGAGAAATGAATAAATCTTAGGATATCTGTGCTAGTGGCCTATTTTCTTGGAACTATTGAAGGGGGAAGATCCAAGCTTCCAGAAACCAAACTTTTATTCCTGAACCGTTTTCAATAATAAACATGATAGAAGGCATGTTTATTTAAACATGAGGCAGCACTCTAGGTTTATCGTGGCTGCTCATAACATAGATAATCTAGAAGTATCCATAAGCCTTGGTGAGGGGAGAGAGAGAGGCTGAGATGGTCAATAAACCAGCAGAGGCCTGGAGTTTAGAAAAAGATGTGATGAAGTTTCAAATATTTCAGACCAGAAGCAAATCGAGTGGACCATGAACATCAGCCATGGGAACATGGTCTCAGCAGTTATTGCAAAGGGCACTAGAAACTAGACAAGACTAGCCTGGATCAGCCACTCCTCAACCAAATCTTTCCAAGATCCAGAGTACAGCATTAGGAACTGTGATTACAAATCCATTACTTTCTCCTCCTTCTCCTCCTTTCTTTAACCTTCACAGAGTAATATAGCCCACCTCCTCCTATGCCCCAGCATTACCTTGGGATCATTTGAGATGAGAGAAAAGCTTTGGAAGACATCATGCAACCCAGACCACTACTTTGAAATGAAAGATAATGTTAAACTGGAAGACAGTAAGATATACTATTTCTCACATATGAAACTAATAGGGTGGATGTTCAAGAAGTAAGATTAACTCATAAAAAATGATGACACATTTCAAAAATAAGACAGTCATTTATGTTAATAAGCATCTTTTTAAGATATTAAATAAAAGGCTTAATTTTCTTTGCATATTTGAATAATGTGTACACCTAGCTATTTATTAAATCCACTGGTTGAGGAAGCAGACTGGGACACAGAAAAGGTGTATGAGATGGTCTCGTGGTCACATGAGAAGAAGACTCCTTCACACTGGAAAGGTCCGTGCTGTCTAAAGTCTTCCCTAATCAAAACTACATAAAACTGAGTTAATAATAGAACCCACAGACTTCAAAAATTCAATATAAACAAAAACACCTTCACGCCCTCCTCTTTACTTGCAAATTCAACGAAGAGAACCTCTATGACTCACAACGAAGACCAGTCCAGCTGGAGACTTGCCAGGCCTTACTTGGTCAACAGTTAGTAGCTGTCTGCTCTTTGGCCTTTCCTTTCCCAGCTCCTTTCTGTTCGGGTAAAAATAAGAAGAGAAAAAGTAAAACAATAAATGCAATTTAGAAAAAGTTACATGATTCTGCTTCTGCCTTTATTGTTTGTTTTTAGCTAGCCTTGGAGTAAAACTAAGAAGATTAAGACACTTTAATTTGGGCTTTGAAATTCAAATCCAAGTCAGAGAACTTTTCAAAAATAGAGTATCAAGTTGCTGATTTTAGCATGCTAGAGTAGAACCAGGGGAATGTCCTGTCCACAAGTACTCCCTAAACAAAATATGTCTGATCATTCTTTTAAAAAATAAGAGATTCAATTGGGTTAAATCCCTTTACAAAATTAAAAATATTTATTAGAAGAATTACAGCTATTTACAGCCCAGTGTAAAAAAAAATAAATCTAATGAGCTTTCTGGTAATGTCTAGGTTTGCCACACTCTTATAATAGGGAATTTTGGTTGTATTGAGAGAGATAGGACTAAAGGAGCAAATGTAATTATGTGGTTGGGTGGAGGGTAGGGGAGGAGTGGTGAATACTATGGGGCTTTGACCCACTCTGAGCGGTCATTGACCATATGGAGCCATTGGTCAATAGAAGATAGGAGATAAGGAGAAGTTTAGGAATAGGAGATAGGGAGAAGTTTCAGGATGGTGGAAGTGGTTATCTTAGGTCATCCTGGCGACATGCCTCTTTGTGTCACAGGAAACCTACTCCTGTAAATAGTTCATCAAAGAATCTTGACTGTCTAGGCAAGATTCTTTCTCAATTTGCCTATAATTTGAGAATCATTAGCTGAATAATTTCCATTATGTTCTGTATATAATGAGAAATTTCTGATCTCCCTTAATTTCTGTGCCAACAACAATGATCTGAGATTGTTGGTTATTCTTCCCAAAAGTGTTCTCATTAAACACAGGAGAGAACTGGAGAGAAGCTTGTTTCAGAAACATGAGGGGAGATTAAGAGAAGACTTTGAGGCAGGTTTCAAAATCCTGTGTGAGTGATTTTAACTAGATCTGGATAATAATGACTGAATCAAGAAGGTTTATTTAGATTACATAAATCTATGTAAAGCTAATTTCAAGGTACCTGCCTTCTGTGTTAGATTGTTTTATTTTAGGGTAACAAGCCTAGTTTGAAAAAAAAAAGTTATGATAAAAATAGGCATTTTGTAATAAAGTAGATTTCTCAAGAAATAGGAGAAAATAGATTTAGTTAATTTATTCACCCATTCATTCATTTATTGAAACAACCATCTTGAATTGGTCCTGGTTTCTCAAACAAATCAGTCAAAAATTGTCAAGACTAATTTAGCTGAAATTGCCTCCTGAGCACAATATTAAAATGTACAGTTCTAGTCAGAGCATTGATATGTGTTTTGGCATTGTCAATTCTTTTTTCACTGTTTTGTTATGTCCTCACTGCATGGCAGCTCTGGAGAACATCAGGAAAGATATATGCTAACTTTGGGATGGCAGTGATGCTGGAATTTTGTGTGCGTGCGTGCGTGCGTGCGTATTTTGCGTGCCCTTTAGATGAGAAATACAATTACAAGAACTCTATGCTCAGTTGGAGTCTCATGACTCATCACTCCATATCTAAATCAGCCCCCAAAGACATAAATCAGCCCCCAAAGACAGGGCTCTTGCAAATCCTGGAAGTATCCTTCTAATACTTACCCCTGACCTCCTGTTTCGGTTCCTGTATGCAGCACTGCTCTGTTTCAGAAAAAGATCGTTTTCCATTGTAATTCAGAAATACTCAGGTCCCCAAATGAACCTGAGATTTCAGCTATTCAGCAAATTTTTTATTTGCAAAGCACATGCCTGCTAGCCTGTGAGACTGCAGTTGCTATTCATATGAATGTTGGCAACATTTCATTGTGGGGGTCAATTATGGTCATTTACCATGATGACATAATAACAACTGCAAAAATGTGAAAGCTAAAGTAGGGTTATTATTACTGTTTGTAAAGTCTGTGTCCCAGATGTTCCTGCCAGGAGAGAGGAAAGCTGGAGTGCAGAGATAGCTGACAACAGTGCTAACCATTCAAATCGCCACCAGATTGAACAATTTACAAGACAGGGATGTAACAAGAGGCTAAAGCTGGTACTCAGGTTGCCCTGCCTCCCTCACCTTGAACTGCAAGACTTTTCCTTCTTGGCATGTCATGTCATACAGAAACAACCCTGCACCCTAGCCCCAGGATGAAAGAAAAAGAAGAAATACAGGCAGTGAATTTGCCCAGAGAGATGGGCCAACAGCCAGTGTCATTCTCTGATATATAGCCGAGGAGGAATTTATTTCCAACTAGTAGAGGATTGGGGGGCTCATAAAACTGCATAGCTTCAACCCAATGAAATAAGGTTAGTAAAATACATAAACTCTGATAAGGCACCGTGAAGTATGCCTCTAGTCACCTGCAATTCACCAATGGCTTCATGATAGATATTCTCGCACCTGGCTTTCCTTGTCAGCTGTGACCAGTGTGTGCCTTTTAACAAAGTTCAGCCTCCTTCCCTCCCGGACTCTCTCTTTTTTTCTACCTTGGAAAGAGGTCTGGTGCTAGGCTAGTAGAGGGCTTGCTGATTGCAGAGATGCTTAGCAGATCCTACAGCAGATCTCTTGAGTGATAACACTCTGATAGCAAGCACCAGCATGAGACAAAAGCAGAGTACTTGTCAAATAAAAAAATACAGCAGTAGTTGAATAGACGAATAGGTAATAAAAAAAATCAAGCCCTAAAAAAATTCAGCTCTGATGATGCCTGTTTTTTTAAAAAATGGAGAAAAAAATCACAGTGGGCAGAAACTCCATTTTTTTACACTTCATACTTCTGTCAGTGTGATGTTGAACAAGTACCATTAATCAAGAGTGCTGTTATTCATTAGGCACAGTGATGAACTTGAATTGTTACTTTAGTATCATTGTTCAAAGCCTCTGGAACTGCCTTAAAGAAGATGGGAAAAATTTATAGCTATAGTTTACAGCCAAGACTGTAAAAGAACTTTCCTACTGTTAACCAAATGTTAAACATGGTAATAATAGTAGTAATACCTTGTATTTATACAGTGACTATCTGAGAAACTCAAAGTACTCAACAAACAGTACATAGTATATTCATTGTCAGCAACATCGTTTTGCATAAAGTTAGTGGGAGGTAGTATTACTTTCTTTGCTATCAGGCCAATAACATGTTCTTTGTGTTTATAGTTCTCTCTGATGTAGGGGAGGTGGCAGACAGGAAGGAGGATGGGGATATGGCGTGTGTGTGGTGGCAGTGAGTGGATTGAAGAGTTTTGTGTATCTTTTGAAGAACTAACCCAAAAGGAATCCTTTTGCTGTGTAATGGTTGTAAGAGATTTGGATAAACATGATGGTTAATCCAGTCTCTCCAGGCATCAGAAATTAATTATAGCATATTCTAATCAGAATGCACTCCTGAGGAAATTAACTTGATGTACTCTGCCTGCTGAGAGGAGGAAGAGCCCTTAGGCCCTTTGGCAGGTTTCCTGACATCCCAAAGCTGACATGCTCATGCTGCTTCTCTGAGTGACTGGTTCCTGGCCCTGCCTACCTACTCACAGCTGATTGAACCAGGGTGGGCCAATCAGATTCCTTCTCCTGGGCATTTAGAAATGGATTGTGGGAAATCCAATGAGTGGAACGAACTTCTGAACTGGAAGGTGACTTAAAGACAGGCCTGCAATGACTCTATTTGACCCATCTGAAAAACAAACAAAAGAGAGGAGGAGGGAGAGCTTTGGTTCCTGAAGAATGTTCTGTTTCTCTCCTAGTCAGAGCCATTTCAGGCTCTATAGCCCATCCCTGATTCTTTACAGTAAATATCCATTCAGCTTAAGTGTTTTTCCTTTATTCCTGAACAAATATATGGTCTCTAACTAAGATAGAAAATATCCCAAGATAATCACACTCACAAGACTTTGTAAGAGTAAAGGACAGACCACATGCACAGGAAAGACCCTTCAGTGTATTTTATTTGGAGGGTCCTTGGCCCCCACATATCGAAATACCTTTTGTGGGGAGTTCAGCACAGCAGAGAGCATTTAGTGAAGCTGACAATTCAACTCTGAAAAGAGTGACATTTTGTTTTGTGTTTTATTTGCCCATTTCCCTCTCTTTAAATCTGATCCTATTTTGTTTAATTAATTGTGCCCTCTACATATCAGTGGGATTTTTTAAATTTTAAAAAGGCAATAACTTTTAAAAGCTTGGAGAAAATTGACTTGTCTTTATGCATCACTTTGATCCCAATAAGACAGGCACAACAAAAATCTCAACACTTGCCACTTGAGCCAGACTGAGGTGAACACCAGCAGTATGTTGAATTGTTGAGAAAAGTATTCAAATGCAATACTGTACCCCAAAATAATTCTTGCTCTCCTGCCACAAGAAAAAAAAAACTCCATTCCAGTACTAGTTCTCTGTACATTTCCCCTCATTCCCAAAGCATTTTAATATTCACAACTATGTAACAGAATGGAGAAATGGGCATAGATGTTCAGAGCAGAGAAACAGCAGTGTTCATAATAATAAATAAGTAATACTGAGCCATTTCGTGATTCTCCAGGAGAGTGGACCTGCCAAATCAGTAACCCTGGGGGTTTGCCTAGAGGCTGCTGCAGGTAGGCCAAAGACTTTGGAGTGAGACAGACCCTCCCAGCTTTTTAAAAGAATTTCTTTGAATAGGGAATTTATGCTTTCTGAGGCTGTCTCCTTGTCTTCCTTACTTGTAAAGTGGAGTTAACAATAGCTACTATGTAGGTTGTTGCAACAATGAAATGAAATGATGTTTATAAAATATGAGGCACTTGGTTGCTGAAAGGAGAGTTCTACGTATTTTGGGAACGGTTTATAATCTCAAACCTTCATTACCATGACTCAGATACCCTAGTGAGTATATGATGATATTGAAATTCAACATTTTCCCTAGATTTAAAAAATATTTTAAATTTAATGATTAAGTCTCAAAATAGATCCAAATGAAATTAATGACCCTGTGCATTTTGTTACTAAAATAACTGAAGTGTCTCAGAAGGTTGCTTCCACCTGAAATTCCTCAGCATGCAAATTGATGATGCTAAAGATAACACGACTTAATGGGCAGTGTAGAGACATCTCTGTACACTCTTGTTTTACAAAGCTCCACTTGCTACACAATTAAAATGATACTTTAAGATGAAAGGGGCTGCTGCCATCATTGAGCAGGGCAGCTATATTCTGAAGTTGCTTCAGCAGGTTATGTGTGCTGACAGCAAACAATTCCAAGGGTCTCCCAACGGACTGAAACTGCAAGCAGCATAAAGCCTCCTGTCCTTAGTGCTGCAACTATTCAGGCTCTTATTCAAATAACCTGAAATATTACAGGATGGGCTGTTTCTTACAGTAGAAATGGCATAACTCTTTAGTACAAGTTGAATTTATTCATATTCCAAAAAACTTCACTGTGTCTCTGAATTTAGAATGCAAGTTCCTAAGGAAAGCCCGCTAAAACCATCTCTTTAGGAATGTAGATGGAATTTTGTTACTTCATTAATTATATTCATTCATTCAATAAGTTTTTTTAATACTATACTTCAGATAGTAATGATACAAGGCTGCATAATGCTGACTTGGTCTTGTCCTACAAGAGCAAGAGATCTCCCTCTCCCTATCACTTAAGCCTTTGGTCTCTAATTTCACCACTAATAATCCACAGTTGTGACCTCTGAACTCTAATTTCCCTTGTGACCCTGGGGATGGGTATAATTTTTTGTTGGAAATAGTGGTATTTAGGATAAATTCTAAACTTGCTAGCAAGGCATACAAGGCTGTTTACAATGTCTCTCCAAAGCTCAAGGCTTGTAACTTGCTCCAACTTCACAATAATTGAACATAACTACTCGTAGTTCTTCCTAGTGAGCCTCCCCTTTCTCCTTCCTCTTTCTCTCTCTCTTGGCCTTCCGTGGTCTATGTAAGCTGTTATTGCTATCCAGAATTTCCTTTGTGACACTGAAGACATACAAAACATACCTTATATTGAGTCAGTGTGCCTACAAAACCAAGGTGCCATCACCCTGAGGTGGAAGTACCTCTAAAAGTCTCAGAGGAACCACCTGAAGCAGGAGACAAGAGGAAGACATTGATGGTGTCAGGGTTGTCATCAAGAGCCAAGGTGGGGGCCTGGTCAGCAACGAAGATCGCACAACTCTCCAAAACAATGATTAGGCATTTCCCACTTGAGGGCAACATTTGCTCTAACCTTGGGCCAACTCCTCTAAATCAGAATCTATGAGCTCAGCTACAGGTCAGAGAAAGCCAATAGTGAAAGTTACATGAAAATACATGAGCCCCTTCTCCTGCTACCACAGAATTGCAAAACTTTCTTTGACCAGATAGATATCCCTGGGGAAAGGAAAAAGGAGAAGAAAAGGCCTATATATCTCCATTGTAATGCACCACTGCCTTTACCTAGCACTCAATCAAAAAAGACAATTGAATTGACAAGAAATTTTTAAAAACAGTTTTCTACTGAATAAAAATAGAAGCCTAGCCTGGGCAACATAGTGAGACTTTGTATCTACAAAAATATCAACAAAATTAGCTGGGTTTGGTGGCACACACCTGTAGTCCCAGCTACTTGAGAGGCTGAGGCAGGAGGACCGCTTGAGCTGTGATCATACCACTGCACTCCAGCCTGGGAAACAGAGTGAGATGCTTTGTCAACAAACAAACAAAAAGAAGCACAGGACATGATAAAATCAGCTAAAAGGAAGCAATAGGTATGTTTGTGTGTGTGTGTGTGCATAGTGCAGTGTATCTGGATTATAGCATGTATATTTTGATTCTACCCTACGTTTCTATCTATTCTACTAATTTGGACTTAGCATGTGTTCTGTAATGTTGTTACCCACTTACCCTCTCAAACAGATTAACAATCTTGTCAAAACTTATATTTTACCTCTTGGCATCCTCAGATTTTGCCAACGTCCTATACAAAGTAGGTTCTCAATGTAATAATGAGCCAGTTCATATCCATGTCATTACAGTAACTGAAGATTACATGTTACACTAAGTCTGTGAGAATAGAGAAGGTACTGGCATGGGTGTGACTGAACTTGCTTTTCTAAGTTGAAGTTTTCTTGAGAGAGGTGAGCCATGAATGAAAGAAATGAAGAAGATGGGAAAATCAAGCTGTCAATGATAAAATGCTAATGTATGAGAAGTTCAACACAAGAACAAGAACAAATGTCCATGGGGCTGTCTTGAAGATTAAGGCAGATAGGTCTAACAAAAAATAATGCCATTATTTTGGGGAAATATGATGGTTATTGTCATGATACTGAAAGTTATGCATTGTGTCTCAGGGACATAGAGGTTTCTTGGCTTAGGAAAAAATGACCAGTGTGACCAAGAGTATGCGATGCACTTGGTAAAAATATTTAGGATGATTAAACAGAAAAAAAAAGAAGGGGGACAATTTGTTAGAAAAGGGTAGACGTTTAGTTTTTTTAGTTTTTTTTTTTTTTTTTTAATGTGCCAGGGAAGTGCTTTATGCAGAGTGGGTGCTAAAAATATGTTTGTCAAATGTATGAGTAAATTAGTTTATATATGAATTGAATGCATAAATTCAAGGAAAGTAAAATAAAATACAGGTAAAGCTCATTTTATATATGAAGTGAGTTCATTACATATCATAAAACAAATAAGTGATACAAAAATATTTATGAATATGTTTATATATGAAATACTGTGTAGTATGAAAGTTATGTCTACTTCTCTATCAAATGTTTATTAACTATCAGCGAACTAGTAGTTTCATCATTGCTTAACTTATAATCATACATATTATTAGTGTTTTTTATTGAATGGCTATTGAACTTCAGCATACACTAAGTACTATAGAGGACATCAAATAAGACATTGTTCTTTCCCGGTGGGTTCATAATATAACTTAGGGGGACCATCTTTCTCTTCTTTTTTTAAAACTTAATGTGTGTCCATGGCTCATCAAGCATTTTAATATCCCAAAGGCCAAAGATGCACTGCACATTTATATTCAGGTTCTGATATTTATATATTGTAATGTGCTGGGATCCATATTACTTTCAGTAACACCATCTAGTTCTAAAGGGCAAAGTACATAGAATTCCGAATAAGTTTATCTGTTTTTTTCTTCTTCTTCCCTAAAGGAAGGAGTGGAAAATTGTCAATACTCTTAAGAATTTTAGAGCAGGGGACAATGAAATGCTCTTTTATTCATTGCTGTTTGCACTATTTGATATGAAGGACTCTTATTTTCATTATTTCAATAATTATTTCTTAATTTGAAATGAAACCTCCTTTTACTCTAATCAGCAGCAACTGTGATCATTAGGAACTGATTAGAAGTGATATAGAATCTCCATTTTTTTCCATTGCTTTTACAAAATCATAAGACCTTAGAATTAGAAAGAATTCTAATGATTATTTATTCCAATAGTCCCCAATGCCTGTCTATAGACTTGTTGCCATAAAACATCAAAAAAAAAAGGACATTAAAAATTCAAATTTCTGAGACTCATCTGCCTTAGATCAATTAGATGAGAATTTGCAGGGCGGGGTCCAGATAACTGTTTCACTGTCAGTACAAGTGGTTCTCAGAAGGGCTAAATGCCTTATACCAGGTCTACATGGGTAGATGCTGTCAGAGTCAGAAATAAAATCTGGATTTATTTTTAAAGAAATCTAATTTTTTTTAATACACCACACTGTTTCACATAAGAAATAATTCATTTATGAGATACAGGCAACCTGTGGCAGGGTCTGTTCAAACCTATTAAAATCTATAATAAATTTTCTTTAAAAGCAAGTTTATAAATTGTGTACAAAAATTATTTATTTTTGACCCAAGTAGCTTACCTAGATGACCTTTCATTCTACTTTGTCAGTTTTGACTCTGAATGACATTTGGTTTTATCACAATTCTACCCCATCATCCGAGGAGCACATCTTCAATGGAAGCTATTTAAAAGTGTGTTCTACAAATTCTGAGTTGCCAAAATATTTTGAGCAATAGTATATCACTGAAATTAATATATTTCCTCTGTATTTTTTGGAAAAATACAGGCATTTAAAGCACTGAATACTGCCAAAGATAATTTAAACAACTCTGTCTAGTTACACCTTTGGTTTGTTTCACTTTTTTGTTTTAAACACTGTGATGAACATCTCAATACACACATCTATACTAGCTGCCTATAGTTAGTTACTAAAATTTAAAATGTTCTGACCCAACAGTTGCCATAAAACACTGATGAGAAAAAATTAAAGAAATGGGGAGGTATATGCTGTTCACTGATTGGAAAATCAATATTGTTAAGATGTCAATACTACCCAAATTGATTTACAAAGTCAATGCCATCTCAACCAAATTTTAACAGTATTTTTTTCAAGAAAATACTAAGTTGATTTTAAATCCGTGTTCAAATCCAAGGGACCTAGATTAACCAAAACAAGTTGAAAAAAGAATTTATACTACTTATTTCAAGACTTACTATAAAGCTAAAGTAAAAAAGACAATGTGGTATTAATATGAGGATTGACATATAAATCAATGAAACAGAACAGATTGTACAGAAATAGACCCACACAACAGTTTCGATTGATTTTGTACAAAGTTGCTCAAGTATATTTTTATTTTATTTTTTAAGATTTTTTCGTTTCCTCCACGTTTATTTTAGGTTCAGGGGGTACATGTGCAGGTTTGTTATATGGGTAAATTGCATGTCTTGAGTATTTGATGTATAGATTATTTTATCACCCAGGTAATTAGCATAGTACCCAATAGATCGTTTTTTGATCCTTAACCTCCTCCTACCCTCCACTCTTCTCCCATTCTCCACCCACAAGTAGTCCATAGCGTCTATTGTTCCCTTCTTTGTTTTTATAAGTATTCAGTTTAGCTCCTACTTATAGGAGAAAATATGTGATATTCGGTTTTCTGTTTCTGTGTTAATTCACTTAGGATAATGGCCTCCAGCTCCACACATGGTCCTGCAAAAAACATGATTTCATTCCTTTTGATGGCAGCATAGTATTCTGTGATGTATATGTTCTACATTATTTTTATCCAGTCCACTGTCAATGGGCATCTAGGATGATTCCATGTCTTTGCTGTTGTGAATAGTGCTGTGATGAACATATGCATGTATGTGTCTTTATGATAGAATTTATATATATATTTTTGGGCATATATTCAGTCATGGGATTGCTGGGTTGAATGGTAGTTCTGGGTTCTCTGAGAAATCTCCAAACTGCTTTCCACAGTAGCTGAACTAGTTTACATTCCCACCAGCAGTGTATAAGCATTCCTTTTTCTCTGCAACCTTGCCAGCATCAGTTATTTTCTGGCTTTTTAATAATAGTCATTCTGACTGGTGTAAGGTGGTGTCTCATTGTGGTTTTGATTTGTATTTTTCTAATGATTAGTGATATTCAGCATCTTTTCATATGCTTATTGGCCACATGAAAGTGTCTGTTCATGTCCTTTGCCCGTTTTTTAATGGGTTTTTTTTTCTTCTTCTTCTTCATTTGTTTCAGTTCTTTATAGATTCTGGATATTGGGCCTTTGTTGGATGCAAATATTCTCCCATTCTGTAGGTTGTCTGCTTATTCTGTTGATAGTTTCTTTTGCTGCGAGGAAGCTCTTTCATTTAATTAGGTCTCACTTGTCAATTTTTGTTATCATTACAATTGCTTTTGGAGTCTTTGTCATGAGTCTTTGTCAGGGCCTATGTCCAAATGATAAGGACAATGAGGCAAGACCCAACTAATTGTCTGCTGTTTTTAAGGGCTCATCTCACATGCAGTGACACCCACAGGCTCAAAGTAAAGGGATGGAGAAAGATCAGTCAAGCAAACAATAACAAAAAAGAGCAAGGGGTGCTATTCTCATTTCAGACAAAACAAACTTTAAACCAACAATAAACAAAAAGGACAAAGAAGGGCATTACATAATGATAAAGAAATGAATTCAACATGAAGACTTAACTGTACTAAATACATATGTACTCAACAGTGGAGAACTCAGATCCGTAAAACAAGTTCTTAGAAACCTATGAAGAAGCTTACATAGCCACACAATAACAGAGGTAGACCTCAACTCCTCACTGACAGCATTAGATAGATCATTGACACAGATAATTAACAAAGATATTTGTGATCTAAACTTGACACTTGACCAAATGGACCCTAACAGACACCTGTAGAACATCCACCCAACAGAAACAGAATACTTTTTCTTCTCATCACACATGGCACATACTCTAAAATTGACCACACACTTTGCCATAAAGCAATTCTCAAAAAATTCCAAAAAAAGAAAATCATACTAACCATACTCTTGGACCACAGCACAATAAACAGAGAAATCAATACAAAGAAAATCTCTCAAAACCATACAGTTATGTGAAAATTAAACTGTCTATTCTTGAATGACTTTTAGTTAGACAATGAAATTAAAGCAGGAATCCAGAAATTCTTTGAAACTAATGAAAACAAAGATATAACATAGCAGAATCTCTGGGATACAGCTAATGCGGTGTTAAGAGGAAAGTTTCTAGTGCTAAACACCCACATAAAAAATTTAGGAAGATCCCAAATTAACAATCTGGTATCATACCGTACATTATTTTTCTAAAAACAAGAGCAAACCAGTCCCAAAGCTAGCAGAAGAAAAGACACGGCCAAACTCAGAGCTGAACTGAATGAAATCAAGACATGAGAAACCATACAAAAGATCAATTTGATTCTGGAAATAATACATAAAATTGATAGAACACTAACTATACTAATAAAGAAAAAAGAGAGAAGATCCAAATAAACAAAATCAGGACAAAGGGAACATTACCACCAACTCCACAGAAATAAAAAACAACCTCAGAGAATGTTATGAACACTTATATGAACACAAACTAGAAATCCTAAAAGAAATGGATAAATTTCTGGAAACATACAACCTCTCAATATTGAACCAGAAAAAAATTGAAATCCTGAACTGACCAATAATGAGTTCTGAAGCTGACTCAGTAAAAATAACTTACCATTCAGAAAAAGCCCTGACCAGACAGATTCAGAGCTGAATTCCACCAGATGTGTAAAGAAGAGCTGGTACCAAACCTACTGAAACTATTCCAAAAAATCAAGGAGGAGAGACTCCTCCCTAACTCATTCTATGAGGCCAGCATCATTCTGATACCAAAACCTGGTAAAGACACAACAACAACAAAAAAGATAACTTTAGGCCAATATCCCTGATGAACGTAGTTGCAAAAATCCTCAACAAAATGCTAGAAAACCAAATCCAACAGCACATCAAAAAGGTAACCCATTATGATCGAGTAGATTTTATTCTTGGGTTGCAAGGTTGGTTCGACATACACAAATGAATACCTGTGATTCATCACATAAACAGAACTAAAAACAAAAACCACATGATCATCTCAATAGGTACAGAAAAAGTTTTTGATGAAATTCAACATTCCTTCATGCTAAAATCCCTCAACAAGCTATGCATCAGAGAAACATACCTTAAAATAATAAGAGCCATCTATGACAGACCCACAGCCAACACCATACTGAACAGGCAAAAGCTGGAATAATTCCTCTTGAGGAAGAGAATAAGACAAGGATGCCCAGACTCTGCACTCCTCTTCAACATATTACTGGAGGTCCTAGCCAGAGCAATCAGGCAAGAGAAAGAAATAAAAGGCATTCAACGAGAAGAGAGGAAGTAAAACTCTCTCTCTGCAGACAATATGATTCTATACCTAGAAAACCCCATAGCCTCTGCCCAAAGGCTCCTAGATCTGATAAACAACTTCAGCAAAGTTTCAGCGTACAAAATCAACATACAGAAATCAGTAGCATTTCAATGCATCAATAACATCAAAGCTGAGAGCCAAATCAAGAATGCAATCCCATTCACAATAGCCACAAAAAGAATAAAATATCTAGGAATACAGCTAACCAGGGAAGTGAAAGATCTCTTCAATGAGAACTACAAAACACTGCTGAAAGAAATCAGAGATGACACAAACAAATGGGAAAACATTCCATGCTCATAAGTAGGAAGAATCAATATTGTTAAAATAGCCATACTTCAAGAATGTACAGATTCAATGCCATTCCTAACATACTTCCAGTGCCATTCTTCACAGAATTAGAAAAAACAATCCTAATATTCATATGGAACCACAAAAGAGCCTGAATAGCCAAAGTAATCCTAAGCAAAAAGAATAAAGCCAGAGGTATCATACTACCTGACTTCAAACTATATCACAAGGCTGCAGTAACCAAAACACCATGGCTCTGGTACAAAAATAGACACATAGACCAATTGAACAGATTATAAAACCCATAAATAAAGCCTCACACTTGCAGCCACCTGATCTTCAACAAAGTCAACAACAAAAAGCCATGGGAAAAGGACTCCCCTATTCAGTAAATGAATAAGATGACTGGCTAGCCATATGCAGAAGACTGAAACTACACTCCCTACTTTCAACGTATATAAAAATCAACTCACAATGGATTAAAGACTTAAATGTAAAACCTAAAACTGTAAAAACCCTAGAAGAAAACCTAGGAAATGCCATTTTGGACATAGGCCAACTACGTAATCAAGTCTACATAACAACCAACTGGCCACACCTCACGGGATCAAATCCACACATCAAATTAAACATGCTAAATGCCTCATTTAAAATTTGGATAAAGAAGCAAGGCCCAAATGTACGATATGTGTGGTTTTAATCCTTGCGAGGTGTGATTAATTTTGGTGTATTTTTCTTTTTTTAAGATTTTTTTCATATTCTTCTGGTTTGGAGGGTGACTGCTGAAAGGTCCACTATTCACCTGATGGGGTTCCTTTGGATGTGACCTGCCCCTTCTCTGTAGCTGCCTTTAAAAATTTTTCTTTTACATTGACCTTGAAGAATCTGATGACTATGTATGTGTCTTGGGGACAATTGTCTTGTATAGTATCTCACAGGGGTTCTCTGAATTTCCTGAATCTGAATGTCAATCTTTCTAGTGAGGTTGGGGAAAATTTTGTGGATAACATTCTCAAATATGTTTTCCAAGTGGCTTGCTCTCTCTTTCATGGACATCAATGAGTCATGGGTTTTGCCTCTTTCCATAATCCCATATTTCTTAGAGGTTTTGTTCCTTCTTTTCTACTCTTTTTTTCTTTATTTTTGTCTGACTGAATTGATTCAAAGGACTAGTCTTTGAGATCTGAGATTATTTCCTGAGCTTGTTCTATTCTGCTATTAATACTACCCATGGTATTATGAAATTCTTATAGTGAGTTTTTCAGCTTTATCGGATCAGTTTTGTTCTTTCTTCAAATGGCTATTTTGTCTTTCAGCTCATGTATCATTTTACTGGATTTCTTATATTCCTTGAACTGGGCTTCCATTTCCATTTTCTCATAAATCTCAATAATCTTACCTGCCATCCAGATTCTGAATTCTACATCTGTCATTTCAGCCATTTCAGTCAAGAAAAGAACCATTGTTGCAGAGCTGGTGTGGTTTGTTGAAGGTAAGAAGGCACTCTAGTTCTTTGAGTTGCCAGGTTTCTTGCCCTGGTTTTTTCTCATCTGTGTGGGCTAATGTTCCCTTAATCTTTGAAGTTGCTGCCCTTTGAATGGGGCTTTTTGCTTTTATAGTCTTTGGTGTCCTTGAGGGTTTGTCTGTGCTATAAATTGGGTTCAGTCAATTGGCTTCATTTCTGGACTTTTTCAGGGGGCCAACACTCAGCTCAGCACTCCTAAGCTGTGTGCCCTAACCTTGGGGGCCTGGGACAAGATCCGTGGCTTTGTTCTCTTGCCCCTATAAGTTGAGTACCTGTGCTGGAGATGTCGAGGTGTTCACACTTCTGCTGGCAACAAAGCTCTGATGGGGGTGGGGG
The DNA here is from genome assembly GCF_000001405.40 of Homo sapiens. Taxonomy (NCBI): domain Eukaryota; kingdom Metazoa; phylum Chordata; class Mammalia; order Primates; family Hominidae; genus Homo; species Homo sapiens. Next base: position 87,814,357 of record NC_000005.10, on the reverse strand, counting down.
TGCCAGCAGAAGCACTTCATTGGGGTGGTAGCAGCAGGGTCCGCACTTGCACACACATGTCAGTGGTAGCTAAACAGCTGCATGGCAAGGTTCATGTGCACCAGCAGTAGCTGGGTGGTGGTGTGGTAGGCTCCACACATATTCTGGCAAAGCACTGGGGGGAGGCTGTGCACAAATGTGCACTGGCAAAGCAATGGAGGAAGGCTACAGGTGGGTGCATGCCAGTGGGGGGCTATCTGCAGAAGTTCTCAGATGGTTAAGTGGGGTCTGCCAGTGAAGAAGCTATGGCAGTGGCCACTGAGAAGTACCCTAATTGGGTATCTGAAGCTGCTCTGCAAGCAGGTGCAGCCAGGCAGGAAACCTGGAAGAGACTGGCACACAGGAAAGTGCTCAGATCAGTCTAGCTCCATCCCATGGTCTGTCCAGGTCTGCCAATCAACAAAGACCCAAGTGACCTACAGAAGTGCAATGAACCTTGGATGACAGGTGTCCCTGGCTGTGCTCCTCTGCACCTGTTCCCTTGCCAAGCCCTCTGTGCTCCACAGAGGCTGGAATCCTGTCCCTAACAACTCTCTGAGCAGCTCTTCCTGCTAGCTCAAATGTCTATGGAGGTCATAGGGTCTCCTGCAGCTAGGATTCTAGAGGTCCATGGTCAGAGTTGTCTACTCCATGCTTATTTAACTCACTCCTTCCCTAGGCACTGGTCAGGGCCAGGAATGAGTCCTAGTGCTTGACAAACCTGTGCAGGGTTCCCAGCTTCCTCTGCCTTCAACCCAGGGTCTCTGTTGTCCCTCTGTTCACTCTCAATGTCTTCCTTCCCAAGATGCTTGGAGTGTGCCAGTCTTCTTGATGGTCTAGTCTCTTGGTGGGACAGTCTCCATGGCTGCATATAGTTGACGATCTTAGCTCTTCTCTTTGGTGCTCAAGTATTTCAACATGGAAAAGATACTCAACAAGGTCCTGAAACAACTAGACATTCATTGAAAATTACCTCCAACATTATTTTGCACCTGATAAAAAAATTAACTTGAAATGGATTAAATCATAAAAACCTAAAGGCATAAATCTTTAGAAGAAAACATAAGAAAATATCTTTGTGATTAGGCTAGGTAATGGTTTCTTATATATAACACACAAAGCATGAACCATAACAGAAATACAATTTATAATTTGTCCCTTATTATAATTGAAATTTTTGATATTCAAAAACTACCTGTCTTTTGATTTAGGAAAGGGTGAAGCAAGAACTTCTATGGGGGGGGCATAAGTATTGTATATTTTAATTTTGGCAATAGTTGCATAATTGAAACATTTTAAAAAAATGAAAAGACTATCCACAGACCAAAAGAAAAGAAAATATTTGTAAGACACATATCTGATTTGTATACAGAATATATAGAACTGTTACAACTCAACAATAAGACACCCCAAGAAAAAAGGGACAAATGATTTCAATATATTCTTCAATAACACTACATATATGTGGATGGCCACTAATAGCAAGAAAAAAACCCTCAATGCAATTAGACATCAAAGAAATATAAATTAAAGCCACAAGATGCTCTATACACCCACTAGAATAGCTAAAATTAAACACACTGATAATATAAAATGCTGGTGGAGATACAGAGCAACTGCAATTCTCATACCTTGCTGGTGAATGCAGAATGCTATAGAAACTTTGAAAAACAGTTCTTCAATTTGTTATAAAATTAAACATGCACTTACTCTACAATCCAGTAATCCTACTCCTAGGTATTTGCCAAAGGGAATGACTTAAAAGAAACAAGAGATAACTTTTATGGGTGACAGAAATGTTGTCTGTTTTAATTCTGGTAGCAGTCATATAATTTAAAATTCAATGAAGTATTCACTTTAAAAAGAATGAAGTTTTTTGTATTTATAATAGACTCAATGTTTAAAAGTAAATTAAAATGCAAAAGAAAAATTGGACAAAACATTTGTGATAGGTATGTCTGAGGTAAAGAGCTACAAAAATCAGTAAGAAACTAAATATATAAATAAAAGAAATATTTTAATAGAAGAAAATGAGCAAGCAGCATGAATATGTAATACACAGGGTCAATTATATAAACCAGAAATGAGTCCCAAAAGTTATCAAACAAAAACCAACTAACATGAAAATTAGAAAATTGGCAAATATTTGAAAGACTAAAGAATAATGTCAAGATGGCTGAGGGTCTTCCCAAGAAGCTCTATCATACACTTTAGGGATTTTTAAAAAGGCGTGCCCTATCTCAGAGGAAATCCCCTTATATACCAAAAGCTTAAACATATATCTGACCTACAGTCCAATAATTTTCTTCCTCAGAGTTTATCCTAAGAAAATAGAGGAACACGCTAAGATTTATATGCAAATATATTCAATTTAGCATTATTTTTAATCATTAATAATTGGAAATAATATAAACAAGAATAAAATACTAACAAACTATGGTATATCTATATGATGGAATCCTATATAGCTTTCAAAAATATATACTTCGATATATATTTAACATAAATATTTCTAAAAATGTGTCTATACACACATACATGATTCTGACTTTGTAAAAATAACCTAAGATATGCAACAAAAGTGACCAATATGGCACAGACGAAAGGGTTAACTGAGGCCATTTCTTGACTACAAGACTGTTGTTGATGCTTATTTTCTGTAGTCCATTTATATGTACACCCCATTACTTTATACTAAACATATATTGCTTTTATATTTTAAAAGTAAAATAGTAATTATCTCCCTTAGCAATATTTTGATAGGGAAGTGATACAGTTATAACTATGTATGTCTCTGTTATAGTTCTCTAGCCTTTTACAGGCTTGAAATCTATACAGAGTAGGAATTTTCTGTGCAAAGATATTTGGAAAATTGATTTTTCAATAAAATTGAATGTGGCTATCATGGAGTTCTTTCTCCGGGATCCAACTCTCAAATAAGTCCTGAAGAAGAAACTGGGATGTAGACAAGATATTGGCAAAATCAATAAGAACATTTCACCTTTTGATGTTGTAGGCCAGGTTTTTTCCAAACTCCTGGCCTCAAGTGATTCACTTGCCTCAGGCTCTCAAAGTGATGGGATTACAGGTGTGAGCCACTGAGCCTGGCCTGCGAGGTGTTTTTCTACCCCTTGGGATATACCACCTATCGAGGTATGTTCCCTTCTCTGTCATTGCATGTGCCAGTTTTTTCCAATGGTCTAAAGCAACAGGTTGTAGACATACCATTATTTTCTAGAGCAATGGTAATATAAATCTGCTACAATGAGCCAGCATTCCTGTTGCAAATAAGCTACTGTAGAGGATACCTAGTCCATAGGCCAATGTATGGGCTTATTCACATGATCCTTATTCTGAAAGAATGATAAATGCGGTCTAAAGGTATTTCTGTTTGTTTCTCTGTTAGACATTGAATTAAGGTGAGCTGTGCTTTATTTCAGACCAGTCCTATTGGTGTACATTAACTTGCACTTGACTTTTTGAAACCTGTCTATGTAAGAGACTGATCCTACAAGGGAAAATATATTAGAAGGGGATTGGAACTCAGGAGAGGTATGGTGTGAAGGTGTAATGGAAAAAGAGGGTAGGATGTGAGATGTGACTACACTCATGCAATTCATGGGTTTCCTACAGAACCCCTTCTTGGATGTTTCAAGCTACACTCTCCCCTGCCCTTCATAGCAACTGTGCAGAGTGCTGAGGTACCACTTTACCACCTGTTACTGAGATTGTCTATGGAGTCCATTTATCACATTTAGTTGTGAGCAGTTGGAGCCCAGGAATTTTTCTTTCTGTTTTTTTTTTTTTTCTTTTTTAAAACAAGAGACATAATGGACATACATTAATGGCATATATTTTAATTGTAGAATTTGACAAGTTTTGATATATATGTATACCCATTAAGTCACCCCAACAAGGTAATGAACATATCTAGTACCTCCAAGTTTCCTGAAGCCTCTTTGTTATGCACCCTTCCACCCCTGCCAACCTCTCCCAAAGCCCATCCCCAGTCAAGCACCATTCTAATTTCTGTCACTATAGATCACTTTGCATTTTAAAAATTTTTATATAGGAGAAATCATTCAATGTATGCTTTTGAGGAGGTCTGTCCCCTTTCACTCAGCCTAATTATTTTGAGATTCTTCCATGTTTTCATATTTAACAATAGTTCATTCTTTTGTTATTTCTGAGTAATAACATTATTTGGATATGTTCATTCACCTGTTGATAGACATTTAGGTTGTTTCCAGTTTTTGCCTATTATAAAATTTGCTTTTATGTTAAGTGAAATAAGCCAAACACAGAAAGACAAATATTGCCTGGTCTCACTCATATGAGGGAGCTAAAAAAAAAAGTGGATCTCATGAAGGTAAAGAGTAGATTGGTGGTTACCAGAGGCTGGGAAGGGGAGAAGGAAAATGGCAGAAAGAGAAGTTGGTTAATGGATACAAATATATGGTTAGATAAAAGAAATAAGACCTAATGTCAGATAGATAAGTATGGTGTCTATAGTTTACAATAATCTATTACACATTTCAAAATAGTGAGATAATAATTCAAATGTTTCTAGCATAAAGAAAAGACAAATATTTAAAATGATGGATATCCCAATTATACTGATTTGATCTTTACAAATTATATGAATGTGTTAAATTATCACACGTACTAAAAAACTATGTGTATCTATTATGCATCAATGAAAAAATTATTTAAATAAAAGACTATAAATTGTGTGCAGTGTATACTGCTCAGGTGATGGGTTTACCAAAATCTCACAAATCACCACTAAAGAACTTACTCCTGCAATCAAGCACCACCTGTTCCCCAGTAATCTATGGAAATGAAAAAATAAAAAAATATTTCCAATAATAAAATTAAATCACGTATCAAATCAAAGGAAAATTATAAATAAATAATAAATAAAGCTACTATGAGCATTCATGAAAAAGTCTTTATAAGTCTTTATATAGAATAAATGTATGCATTTATTTCTTTTGGGTAAAGACCTAGGAGTGAAACAGCGGCTTCCTATCGTAGGTGTAATTTAACTTTTCAAAAACTGCCGAACTATTTTCAAAAGCGGTTGTACTACTTAACATTCCCACAAGCAATATATGAGAGTTCCAGTTCTTTCACATGCTAGCCAACACTTATTATGGTCAACCTTAATTTTAGCTATTATAATAAGTGTGTAGTGGTGTCTCATTATGATTTTAATTTGCATTTCCTTAATGAGTATTTTAATAATGTTGTGCTTTTCTTCATATACTTAATTTTGACATTTACAAATATTACTTGGTTTTGCCCATTGAAAAAAATTGTTTGTTTTCTTATTATAGACTTTCGAGAGTTCTTTATACATTCTGGACACAAGTCTTTTAGCAGATAATCGGCTTGCAAATATTTTCTCCCAGGTTATGGCTTATCTTTTAAGTGTCTTTTAAATAGCAGAAGTATACATTTAAATGAAGTCCAATTTATCCATTTATTTTGTTCTCAGTTATGTTTTTATTGTCATACCTAAGAAATCTTCCACCCTTATTCTTCTGAAAGTTTCATTAAGTTTCACATTTAGGTCTGTGATTCATTTTGAATTATTTTGTAATGATGTGAGAAATAAAAATTATTTTTTTCTCTTCTGTTTTTGGCATATAGATATTTAATTACTTCAGCATCATTTTTTGAAGAGACAATCCTTTTAAAAATTTAACTATCTTTGCATATTTATTCAAAACTAGTTTTCTGTAATTGCATGGGTTTATTTCTGGATTCTCAATTCTGTTTCATTTATCTATTTTTCTATATATTACACTAGTTTATATAAATTTCAAAATTAGGTTGTGTTAAGCCTTTAACTTTTTCTTCAATTTCAAGTTGTTTTGACTATTCAAGATTTTTTGAATATCCAGAAAAATGTTTGAATCAGCTTGTAAATATCCACCAAAAAAAAAAAAATGCTGAGATCTTGTTTGGATTTTATTGAGTCTGTAGATCAATTTGGAAAGAACTGACATTTAACAATATTATATCTTTTGATGCATGAACTCTCCATTTATTTGTCTTGTTTAATTTTCTCAGCAATGTGTTGTAGTTTTCAGTGTGCAGTTATTGTGCACCCTGTCAGCTTATTCCTAAGTATATAATGATTTTAAATATTATTATAAATAATATTATGTTTTAAATTATAATTTATAATTACTCATTGTGATTGTACACATATATGATAGATATTTTTCTGTTGATCTTGAATCCTACAAACTATGATAAATTTATTTATTGCTTTGTTGATTTTAATTGCTTTTCTGTAGTTTCTATCACATATCTCCACCCACAATCATATTGTCTGTGAATAAATGTAGTTTCACTTCTTCTTTTTCATCTGGGTGCCTTTTATTCCCCTTTTCTTACCTTATTTCACTTGCTAATATCTCCAATGAAATTTTGAATAGAAGTGGAAAGAGCAGACATTCTAATCTTAAGGTGGAGAGTATACTTTTTTTTTAACCATCAAATTTGATGTCATTGTAGGTTTGTTTGTAGATGCTCATTATCAGCTTAGGAAGTTCCCTTCTATTCCTAGTTTGCTAACAGTTTTCATAAGGAAAGGATGTTAAATTTTGTGAAATACTTTTAAGCTTTCTATGCAACTATTGGGAAGAAGATTATATAGTTTTTCTTTTTTGTTTGTTAATATGGTAAATTATATTGATTAATTTTAAGATATTAAACCAACCTTACATTCCAGAGATGTACTCCACTTGATAATAATATGTTATTCTTTTTATATACTATTGGACTCTGTTTATTAGAATTTTGTCAGGACTTTTTTCATCTAAGTAATTGGAAATTTTGTCAGGACTTTTTTCATCTATGTAATTTCATCTGCATATGGACTATTGGTCTGCAGTTTTCTTGATTTGCCTTGTTGTGGTTTTGGTATCAGGGTAATGCTGGCCTCATGGAAAGTATCTCTTCAATTTTTTGGAAGAATATGCATACAATTGATAATATTAATTTATTAGATATTTGGTAGAACCCACCAGTGTAGCTATTTAAGCCTGTAATTTTTTTGGTTCTAATGTTTTTAACTATAAATTAAATATCTTTAATAGAGATTGTATTATTTAGTTTACCTATTCCTTTAGTGATCTTTGGTAGTTTGTGACTTTCAAGGACTGTATCTATTTAAGTTGTTTATAATATTTTCTTCATATTTCTTAATATCTGTAGAATCTGTAGTGATATCACCTCTATAATGCACAATCTTGGAAATTCGTGTCCTTTTTTTTTTCTTTTTATCCTGACAGTCAGGGTAGAGACATCATTTTTATTCATCTGTTCATAAATAAGAGCTTAGTTTCTTTGATTGTTTTGTTGTTGTTGTTTTTGCTTTTTATATCTTAAAACCCTTTTCCTCTATCTGAAAGATTCTCTTTAACATTTCTTATAGTGCATGTTTGCTAATCACAAAATTTTTCAGCTTGAAAACAGTCTAAAAACAGTCTTTCTTCACTTTCTTTTTTGAAAGATAGTTTCACTGGGTGTAGAATACTAGATTGAATTTTTAAAATATCTCTCAGTACCTTAAGGATATTGCTCCACTCTCTTCTTGCTTGCATTATTTCTGACAAGAAATCTGTCATTTCTGTGGTTATTCTTCTGTGTGTGATATATGCTTTGTCTCTGGCTCTTTATCACTGATTTTCAGCAGTTTGATTATAATGTGCCTTGGTGTAGTTTTCTTCATGTTTCTTGTGCTTGGGATTCATTGAGATTCTTTAGTTTGTGAGTTTATAGTTTTCATTAAATTTGGAACATTTTTGGCTATTGTATCTTTTAATATTACCTTTCATTTTCCTCCCTTCATTTGAGCACCCCAGTTATATGTTATTAGGCTGCTTTTCTTCTGCAGGTCACTGATGGTAAATTAAATTTTTTTAGGGTCTTTTTTTCTCTTTCTATTTCACTTTAAATAGTTTCAATTGCTGTGTCCTCAAGCTCACTGATTCTTCTTACTGAAATATATGGTCTGCTGTTATTCCATCCAATATATGTTTTACTGTACACATTATAGTTTTTATCTCTACAAGTTCAATTTGGGTGGGGCTTTTTTCTGTCATCCCTGTCTGTAATGTATTTATTCAATTTTTCCTCTAGGTATTGTTCACATGTAATACAGTTATAATAACTGCTTAATACCCTTGTGTGGTAATTGTAATATCTGTGTTAGTTTTTGATCAGTTTTGACTGATTCATTTTCTCCTTATTATGGATCATATCTCCCTACTCTTTGCATATCTGGAAATTTTTAAAATCAGATCCAGACATTGTAAATTATATCTTGTTAAGTGTTGGATTATTATTATTATTATTATTATCATTATTTGAGACAAGGCCTCACTGTGTTGCCCAGGCTGGTCTTGAACTCCTGGGCTCAAGTGATCTTCCTGCCTCAGCCTCCCAAAGTCCTGGGATTATAGACGTGAGCCATCGTGCCCTGCTGGGTCATTTTTATTCCTGTAAATTTTCTTGGAATCTAGGAAGATGAAGGAGGCTAGAATGTTAGAGCAGTATAAAAGAGAGGAGAAAGTTTCACAGAGTAACTACTCCAGAGATCTGCAGATGGGCTTCCTGGAGTGTCCACCAGAGTAATGATCACTACATGCATGTAAATAAACTACCCAAGGCCACAGAAAGAACCAACTGAAAGAACTAACGGCGGCAGTATCCAGCACTTGAACAGCACCACAAATAGTCCCTACTCCTGACAATCAGACTGGAAAACTTTATAATTTCTGAGGCATTAAGTAGAGAGTCTTGCCTCAGTACCAGAAAATAAAGCACACTAAACTAATTGGGGGCTTTGGCCTTACCTAATAAAGCTATTATTATGTTTATAAATCAAAGACTGGCTTTGATATCATTGATTTTCTCCAGGAAAATATCAAATCATTTGCAATGTGGCATTGGCTTTAAGAGACAACAAGATAAATGCTATTTACCCAACTTTTCAGTGGTGATAATACAGGTCACTATAATCATGTATTTGGATTACTGGAAAGATATGTACAAATACATACTAATAAATTATATTTAAAATCCATTATGTCAGTTTTTCTTAGGTTAGTGTGTGTCAAAATCACCTGGGTAACCTTTTTATACATTAAGAAATTCAGATTTGCTGGGTGCAATGGCTCACACCTGTCATCCCAGCACTCTGGGAGGCTGAGGCAGGCAGATCACCTGAGGTCAGGTGTTTGAGACCAGCCTGGCCAACATGGCAAAATCTGATCTCTACTAAAGATACAAAAATTAGCTGGGTGTCATGGAGCATGCCTGTAATCTCAGCTACTCAGGAGGCTGAGGCAGGAGAATCGCTTGAACCCAGTAGGGGGAGGAGGTTGCAGTGAGCTGAGATCATGCCACTTCACTCCAGCTTGGGTGTCAGAGCGAGACTCCATCACACACAAAAAATAGATAAATAAAAATAAAAATAAACAAAGAGAGAGAAAAGAAATTCTGATTTCATCAATTGCCTCCAGATGTTTCTACAGGAGTTAATTTACAAGCCAAATTTAGTGATCAGTTTCCTCTTCTGCAAAATGGGGAAAGTGGTTATTCTATGCCTCCCTAGGTTGTTATAAGAATTAATGATATAGTACATTCAAAGCATGTAATTTAACGGTTACATATAAGTTCTTAAATATTATACATATTATGCAAAGTAGATTTTTTTAGGCAAGTTATACATGTACACAAAAGATAATTTGTTGTTTGCCTTTAGACAACTAGTAATCTATACCTAATCTCCAGAATTTCCTATTACCTTAACCCAGAGTAGTGTCTATTGACTGTTAAATTACTGAGAATTTAGAAAATTAGAAGTTTTCTAGTAACAGATGTAAATGTAAGTAATTGGGGATTAGAAGCACAGTAGAAAATAGGCACGTGAGAATAACTTGGAAGTGAGTTGAGTTTAACTACAGGAGTCATACAGAGTATTTTCTTCAAGAAAGTGAGTCACGGAGGTGTTCTGCTTAGAAGATTTCTTCATAAGATTGTGAGAACCCAAATGAATCTTTTCTCTAGGCACCTACGAACTTTTAACTTGTTTTATTTCCTTTTATTTCCTTGGGTGAAACCAAGACTTGAATAACAGCAGATATGGGAATATCAGTATTAGAAAAGATCTAGTTTTTCTAGCACTTACCTAGGAATCCTGGTTTTTGCTAACTATATTAAGTTATAATTCTGCAAAAACGCCTCAGGTGAACTTAAGGTGCAAGTCTCTAAAAGCTCATGTGGGAGCATTAGGTATCTATTAACAGACTCTAGTAAAGCTACACTTTATTCTCATAATGTACCAGGTAATATAGGTCAGTAATAGAAGTGGGAAAATCCCATGATCACCTAAAAATCAGATCAAGCCTGAAGGTAAAACTGTCTTACACTGACAGTATCTACTGTAAAATATAGTACAAACAATGAGATTCCCCCTCATTTCTTTATGATTCCCATTATATGTATGTCTTGAGGGTGACTTTATTCATTAATACCCAACCCTCAAGAATCTATTAAGATCTTAGAAGGTGTAGTTCACTACTTTGCATAAGATATGGTGAGAATCTCAATAGAAAAAGAATAGTACATTTTCCAAATGTCCAACAAATTGAAAAAGAAACTCAAAGCTTAAAATTCCTTAGCAATACCTTAGCTGTATCTCACACAAACAAAGATTCACTCTTTGCCTCAGATCTAAAAGCTTTACAATCTGCATTTAAGCATAGTCAGCATATTCATATTATTTAGTAAAAGAAGTTACTAGGGAAAAAACCCATAGGTCTGATGTTCAAAGATCCAAAACACAATGTTGTATGCTTACAATTTTCAAGGATAGATTTATTAGTACCAAGAAGACTAATTTTTTCCTACTAGTAATTAACCCACCAGGCACTTCCCAAATTTGTGACATTCTGTAATAATACATGCAAATGTACTTTTAGTTTTGTTAATGACATGTAGAATCAATTGTTCTATATTCAAAAATCAAGCTATACAATTAAAAAATTATCTGATGGAATTGAGGCATCACAAGGGCACTTTGTAGATTGTGTATGTTGTAGATTGTGGGAGCAAAGTGTTTTACTGAAATAAAGGTAAGAAAATGATTGCACTAGCTACAAAAGCTGAAATTGTGTTTTATCTCAAAACAACTTTCATTTTGATAAGAGTGATGTTAGATATTTTTTCCACACCATTTACCTAGCTCTTCTCTTTATTCAATTATTTTGCAGTGATAAGTCAAATACCGTTTAGTTTACTAAGGTTTGTATGTTACCATTTGTTGAAATCAAAAGTGATTTATAGCATGCAAAAAAACATTTCTGTGTACTAAGTCTAATTAATTGTATTTATAGCAGACAGTAAATATTTCTTTCTTTCTTTTTTTTGAGACAGAGTTTCACTCTTGTTGCCCACGCTGGAGTGCAATGGTGTGATCTCAGCTCACCACAACCTCCACCTCTTGGGTTCAAGCAATTCTCCTGCCTCAGCCTCTCGAATAGCTGGGATTACAGGCATGTGTCACCATGCCTGGCTAGTTTTCTAGTTTTAGTAGAGACAGGATTTCTCTTTGTTGGCCAGGATGATCTCAAATTCCTGACCACAGGTGATCCGCCTGCCTCGGCCTCCCAAAATGCTGGATTACTGGCGTGAGCCACCACGCCCGGCCAGTAAATATTTCTTTACATACTAATTATACTTTAGCTATTATACCTGAAAACAGAGAGATTGCTTTAAATAGCACAGCAACAAAAGACATTGTTAATGATGTTAGACATGGAACTCACCACATCCATTTTCTGGAAAGATATGAAAAACAAGTGTTTTTATGTTAAAGAAATGATTTGAATTTATACATATATGCATGTGTATGTGCATATACACATATACCTGTAAGCATGTGTATGTATCTAGAGCCTACTTCAATTTTACCTAATAAGCCAATTCCCACTTTTAAAAAATTATGTACATTTTCTAGAGATAGCAATGTATTGGATTATTTAATCTATCTATAAAGTCCAAGCCTTTTTCCAAAGATGTTTGTGGTAAGTGATTAAATACCAGTGTTCAATTTGAAGCAGTCACAAATATTGGTTGGCAGCTTGTGAGCAGATGCATTTTTCTTCCTGAGGAGGTTATTCTGTGCACCTCAAACACATTGGACATCAGGCCTATTGAGAAATCATCATTGTAAGCAGAGTGGATTTAACAGTAGCTTTCTCACAGGTTTATGTGTTTAATTAGCTGACAGAACAGATGAAACAGTAGGAGCTGAAGACTTGCAAGAGAAAATAACATGAAAGTGTAGTATAGTTCTTATTGTGTCAAACATTATTAATAACAAAAATGAAGAAGAGAATTAACTGTAACTTTTTGTATTTTAAAGAATCCAAATTTCATGATTCACCTGGTTATAATAAATTGCAGATTCCATAAACCACTCACTGGATAATAAAATTGCCCCAGTTTCAGTAAGTATATCTGAGTTCAGGTCAGTGAAGACAATTTGAAAAATAGGGATAAGGTCCTGGAGGTGGTGAATGAAACTGAGATTAATGTAGTTTAATGCTAGCTCTCATTCTATATTTTTAATAGATAAATGAGAGCTCAGAAAATAGTTTTCACATGTCACGTGCTTTGTTGTGTCCCAGATATTACATATTTCATCTTTTAATACAATTCTCCTGTATTTTAAGAATATACACACTCAAGATAATGCTTTTATGTATATATATTATTATAGGAAATATCCACACAAATATGTAATAGTAATAGCTTATGTAGACTATTAAAGCATGGAAATTCTTTTTAGTTAATACCTTTATAGCTTTACTACCAGAAAAAAACTGTGTTACAACAAAATCTTATTTAACAAAATGTTTTAACTGCTTTAAGTTCTGAGTTCACCACTGCATTTTACGTGGAGGTAATCAATAACATTAAAAGTGAGCTTTCTCAAATTCAGAACCTATTTAAACATCTTGGTGTTCTAGCACTTTGATTTGGTTTAAGCCATGTGGGAGTTTAATTTCTTTTCCCGATTTTGCTTTTTTGTATTTTGTAGAGACAGTGGCCTTTCTATGTTGCCCAGGCTGGTCTCGAATTCCTGGCCTCAAGCAATCCTCCTATTTCAGCCTCCCAAAGTGCTGGGATTATAGGCATGAGTCACCACACCCAGACAGATTTTTCTAAAAAGGAAAAATAAGAGAAAAAGAGAATGTTCTTATTTTAGGAGGAAAAAATGGATTTGAAGAGATTACAACAAAGATTCTAGGGATTTTTAGACATCAAATAACTCACAAAATAAAATTTTTGAAGTACGAAGTGCAAATAATTCTAAAATATCTAAATTCAGACATGACTGGCTTTAATATTGCTATAAAGCATATGACAGCTGTTGTAGGATCAAAAGCTGGTGGTGAATGAGCAAACCTTTTCCAAAGCCCAAATAATAACTCCAGACTAAATTATATTAGCTGTTCCTTAAGAGGGTCAAATCATGCATTTGGGTTATCTGCCTCATACTTTCTTGTACCTGTAGTGAGACGAGCAAGTCTCATTGTCCATGAGGTTTTCATAGTTTGGACATCTTGACTTTGCTTGATCTGGAACCCTGAGGCCCCCAGACCTATCTTAGGTAAGTACTCACAAAGAGTGGCCAAAACTTCTTCATCAAGGAAACTTGTCAGTAGCCCTTACAGGCCTGGAGATGCTGATCCACTAATGAAGACCCAAGGGTGGATTTGAACACTTAGAGCCAGAGGCAGCCATGTCTATCCTTTGGGTGAGAAGGGTTATTTGAGGGAAAAATGAATATTCTAAGATCAGCCCTATTCAGACCAGGTCACCTGCACTCACATGGCATCACAAATCTAGAGTTTCCAGAATCAATGTGGGAACCTGGCATATAGACCTGTTGCATGTACCAATTACTATTCATGCCTTGGTATTAGAAATGGTTACATCATTAATTTCCCTTTTGAATTAATTTGAGGTAAAGATAGCACACACATTTTATTAACATTCTGAACATCCTCGAAAATTGGATAAAAGCTAAAGCACAAAGACCTGGGTGTTGGGGATTCCCTGAATCCTAGGATAAGGATCTTTGTCAACAGATGGCTGCCACTGTTACTTTAGCTTTGTCTCTAGAAATATGTTTGGGTTGGTTTATCCCAGTCTCTTGAGATTAAGTCACTTTTGAAACATGGCAAAAATTGGCTTTTACTTTGGGAGTTACATTCTTCTCTGGTAACTTAGGCTTTTGGTGGGGAAAATCAATAATTTGAGGTCTACAATATTGTGATCAGTGCAATTTTTGATGAAGAAAAGATACAATAATAATAACAGCATTTACTGAGCCTGCTCTGACTGGAGCTTTATATGCATTACCTCATTTAATCTTCACAGGTCTCTGAAGTAGAACAATTATTGTTCCCATTTTACAGATCGGGTTAAATAACTGGCCCTAGGCCCTAGAGATAGAATAGTAAATCCAGGATCACAAACCATGAGGTCTTACTCCCAGGCCCTATGACCTCTGTAGCCACAATGGTGAATTCATCTTTCAATTCATCTTTTGGTTGTCTTAATCATCTTAATTCTGCTCCCCACATCTTATATGGGTAAAAACTCCTCGAGAGATGATATTTTATTTTATTTCATTTTGAGTCAGGGTCTCACTCTGTCACCCATGCTGCAGTGCAGTCATGTACTCACGGTTCACTGCATCCTCAACCTCCAAGCTCAGTTAATCCTCTTGCCTCAGCCCCCTGAGTAGCTGAAAACAGGTGTGTGTCACCATGTGCAGCTTATTTTTTAATTTTGTTTTGTTTTGTTTTTGAGATGGAGTTTCACTCTTGTTGCCCAGGCTGGAGTATAATGGTGCAATCTCAGCTCACCGCAACCTCCACCTCCTGGGTTCAAGAGATTCTCCTGCCTTAGCCTCCTGAGTAGCCGGGATTACAGGAACACACCACCATGCCCGGCTAATTTTGTATTTTTAGTAGAGACGGGTTTTCTCCATGTTGGTCAGGCTGGTCTTGAACTACTGGCCTTAGGTGATCCACCTGCCTCAGCCTCCCAAAGTACTGGGATTATAGGAGTGAGCCACTGCACCCGGCCTTTTAAAATTTTTTTTGTAGTGATGGCGTCTCACTATGTTGCCCAGGCTGGTCTTGAACTCCTGGGCTCAAGTGATCCTCCTCCTTCAGCCTCCCAAAATGCTGGGATTACAGGCATGAATCACCACACCCAGCCTCTACCTTTTATCTTTTGCCTTAATTCTCTGCTCTACTTTACTTATTTTCTGTTTTGATACCCTCCCTTGTATTCTTTTCTTATAACTTTCCAGAAAAGTCAAGAAAGGGAGACTAGATGGGGGAGTGGGAGTAGGGAGTTGCTGATGCTATTCAGATGACACCATCAGTGTTGGTCAGAAGGAGGCAGAGTCTGTTTTATTATTAATTATGGAAATTTTCATGGCTTTCTTTTTCTACTCCACTTCAAACCTCCACTAAATGGTAAAGGTATCAGCACCAAATCACTTCTAAATAACTGTTCATCTGTAACCTCTAACAGAGACAGGTCAGGGAGAGGTGAGAGTGAGTTGAAAGGACAGGTCTGAATATAGGACCAAAAAAACTGAGGAAAAATATAACTGCCACATGAATTAGATTTACCCAACTTTTTCTATTAAAGAAGTACTGCCTTCTATTTTCTCTTGCATTTTGTGGCTTGCTTAGGAACATTTGTAAGTATTTATGTTAAAATAAACTTTGATATAAATATAATGAAAAGACTTTTGAATTGAAAATTTAAAGTAACTTACCTAGAAGTTTAACACTATCTAGGAATTTCTATTACAGTAAATAACTAAACAACACCAGGCATGGTGGCTCACATTTTTAATCCCAGCACTTTGGGAGCCTGAGGCAGGAGGATTGCTTAAGCCCTGAAGCCTGAGACCAGCCTGGGCAACATAGTGAAACCCTATCTCTAAAAAAAAAAAAAAAAAAAAAAAAAAAAATAGCCACGTGTGGTGGCATGCCCCTGTGGTCCCAGCTACTCAGGAGGCTGAGGCAGCAGGATCACTTGAGCCCAGGAGTTTGAGGCTGCAGTGAGCTGTGATTACACCACTGGACTCTACCCTGTGCAAAAGAGTGAGACTCTGTCTTAACAAAAAATACTAAATAATAATTATTTGATCTTTGCAGCCAGTAAGGATCTCTTAATTTCTATTAAAAACAGACCAAATCGTTGAAAGGCAAGACAAAAGTGTGATTCAGAGTACAGAAAAATTAGTATTTGAATATCTTTATTTCAGAGAGCTGCTTTACTTTAATTAAAATAATTTAACACCATTAACATATTGTTCCTTAAAAGAGTCTCTACAATAAGTATTGTCTTTAGAGATGAGGAAAATAAAACAGGTTATGTTTTATTCAGGATCTCAAAGTAAGTCCATGAAAAATGCCACTTTTACACTAATAAAATTAAATGGATAATTGAGACAATCATTCATATAATAAAATCTCAAACTACCATTTTTGTACTAATTGCATTTTGTTCAAATGAAGGGTTTTTTTCCTTAAGAGAAAATTCTTAAAATAAGCATTTTTCTCTCTTTAAGAATGGCGTTATTTAATTATGGAACAAGTAAGAATGCTTTGGACTGACTGAGTCACATAACATTTCTTTTGGAATGTCTATTTAAAGTAATAAAAGAGAAAATCACAGCATGGCAGCTATGTTAATGACTGATACAAAAAATGTAGAGGACTTTTTTTGCACACAATTAACCTTCAAAAACAACTAGATTAAATAGCTGCATTTGATAACTATATTTTCCAAAATGTTTATAAAATGAATTCAAGTGCCCAGACTTGAAAATTATACTCCACATCATTTATAACAAACTAGTAAATTATTCTAAGATTTCTTTAATAAGAAACTAATTTTCAAAAAAAAATGGATGGAAATATAGAAATTAAATTTAAAAACTGGAAGTGTGAGTGTAAAGGCCACTGAGAATAAGATGTAAGTATACATTATCATTCACATAACCATACACAGCTCTTTTCTTTTTAAAGCCTCCCTTGTTCTTTTCTATTTTGGCATATGAACAATTCAAAGAAAAGGAATTCCATTTTCTTTCCTTCTCTCTGTCTCTCTCTCTTCCTTCTGCAGAGAGGGTGAATTGGCTTGAAACTACAAGATGAACTTGAACATGTCGTGACAGCTGTTGGGACTAGTATGTTGCTTTGATGATCCCCCACCAGCTGCTGGCATTTGGAGCATGGGGGCCAGAGAAGCTACAATGGGTATAGGCAACCTCTTGAATAAAAAAGAAACATTATAAACCAAACATGTTAATTGGCCAAAACATAAGATCCACATAAATAAATTAACTAGGAACTAAAGCAGGTGGACACTTAGCTCTTTTCTTTACCAGAGGTTTTCTGTTTAAGACTATTTGTAGAAATGTAATGATGAAGGGAATAAGCAAGACTCTGGTGACTGCAAAGCAAACATTGTTGTTAGTTTGGCATTTTGGAAAACATTCACTAAACCAATGTGGGACTGATTGACATAACTTGCTCTGAACTAGCCCAGGATAAAGAGTGATGGATGCAAACTTAGGTTCAGATGGCATTCCTAGCTATAGAGAATCAGGTCTTATTAGTATTTAGTCAATACAAATTGTTTGAGCCATTAATAGCTTAAGCTCTCGCCTTTTGGTCTAAGAATTTTCTGTATCACATAAAATTGCTCTGCTGTGCTTAAAAAAAATTATCTTACCTGAAAAAATATTTGACATCCGTAATTTTACTGCTAAGGTCCAGATTGGATGAAATGCAAACTTTATTTGAAAACCAGAAGATATAAAATTGTCCTTTTTATGTGTTGTAATTGGAAGCATTCATTAGATAGCACGAATAAACCAGAATCATAGAACTGCAGAAATAGGTTTTGTTTTCAAACAGAAATAATAATGTCCATCATTTCTGTTGTTGGCAATTATAAGCAGAAAAAGTTGTCTGTCTATTGATCATTTCAATAGAACACAAAGTAATGGTTACACTATTCATATACTGTCAAGAAACAGGCCTTTCATAAGAAACATCTTTTTCATTCTTGCTACATACCCCAGATATGAACCAGGTATTAATGGGAAATATCATTCTACATTATGCAGATGGTAAATGTTTCTCCAGAAAAGCACTAGTTTGATGTAAATTGCTCCCAAATGTCCAGGTGGTTAAAGTTATTATTGGTAACATAATCAATGATTGGCATATAAAGATGTGTTTTGTATCTCATTTCTTTAAAAAATAGCATCTACTTTTTAATAACCACTTTATATATTCAGACATGGAGGCATAAAGAGACAAAAAGCCAGTATTTGTAATGCTCAGAACTGCTTCAACAATTTTAGAAGTACAGACAAGATAATTGGGAATAAATTTCAAATCCACATATATGATTATGGTACTGGAATTATTCTTTTAAGACAGCCAGTTGACTTTTGCACATTAGGGTTCTTGCTACCACTCTGTTACTTTGTTGAGGCAGAGGTGGGATCAGAGTTTTCTAAGCTCTAAGTTTACTAACCTCTTACGTGTAGCTCTAATAAAAGCACAAGCCGCTACCAGCTTACCATCGAAGTAAGTACAGGCGGTCACCACCAGGATAACAATAGCAATAGCCAAACATGGCAGCCTTGGATGGCCTGAACTTAGCACTAGAGCTTTACCTGGACCAGGTTAGCCATGGGTGGACATTGACTCAGACACAAACCTGGAAACTATCTTCTCTGAGGATGTGGCACTGACCCAGATTTTCTCTGAAGTGACAACGGTTCTCTATTAATGACAGGAGCCCCGAATGGGGAATTCCACAGCAGGTGAGCATGGTACTAAAGAACAGGCAGGAGAAGTGTGCTGGGGAACTCTGAATCTTGGCATTTATCCTGGAAGTGTATACAGTCCATTTGCATAAGTAGATCACAACAATTATTCAAAGACTAACTTCAGTGCCAGGGAGCACTCATGAGAGCAAGGAAGAGTCTCATTCTGGGAGACCCATGCTATGGGCAATGATGGAAATAGTTGCCCAGACAGACAAAATAAGGCAGAAGTCACTTGGCCAAACTGAAGTAGAAGATCAGAACTGGGAGGGGTGAGTATGAGTGACTTCCAAGGGTGGTAGGCTAAAACATCACAAATCCAGTCCTCTCTCTGCCTCCTGGTTCAGATTGGCCTTCACAGCTAGACCAGGAAGAGTGGACACAATCAAATGACTCTCTCCTGAGAGAGGAAGGATTCAGAGTCTAGGAGTATGAAAAATACGCTCTGAATCACCCTGAGGGTGAGAAAGGAAAGATTTATCACCAGCTGAGTCTGCAAAAAGACTGTCTTGTTTCCAATTGACATCTCTTAATGGAGTCCCTTATAGACTAGGCAAGTTTCACTTCAGAGGAAATATTAATGGCAGACAAGGCCTCCAATAAAGTTCTCTAGCATTTTATGCAAAACTAATTTCACTAGTCATAAGGGGTAATTAAGAGGAAAAGCAAATGAAAGGATCTCTGCTCTGCAGAAATGTTAAATCTAATGCCTATGAAGAAAACAAGACTGAGGTCTCCTCCACGTGGAAGAAGTCAAGAGATAATCATAGATGTTAGATATTGGAGCTGAAAATCTCTTACTGTGCCCAATAATGACTTCGGGATTATAGTGTCAGAAGGATAGTCCAACTTAGGACTCTAAGAAGCAACCCAAAACTATGTATAATACAACAAGCCATATTTTAATACAGCCATGCTTAGCAGTTGCTAAACTATTGTAAAAACAAACAAACAAAATAAATCAAATTAATAAGGAAAAAGTAAAGGAAACCAAAAGCGGGGAGGTGGGATTGTAAGACCAGATCTATGAGAAGCATAGGAAACTGTTCTCTATACAACTAGCAGAAGAAACCAGAGAAAGTGGGTAACGTGTCATCTGCCAGCTCCAGGTAACTGCCCTGTATGCTTTTCTCAGGATAAGTCCAATATCCTAAGGAAAATATGTCTCTATATTCCCACTGTTTATTCTCTATTTTTTCTTAATCATTGAGTAAATGTGCCTGTTATTTTAGCATTTTAGGAAAGCAAAGATATATTCTAGTTTGTAAAGATAAGATCTAACTTATTTTGCTGTTGAACATTTTCTCAAACAACCCAGCATTCTTTTTCTAAGCTGAATGTGTCACAGTAATCTATAAATTGCAGTAATCAGAAATGGAGTTTTATAGGGGTATTTTTTCCGAGCCATTAAAAATATTCAGCATTAGATTCTTATTCAAGGCAAAAGAGAATAAAACGACCCAAGAGGCTGCAGCCAAATTTGGAGGAGGAACTCACTAAAAAATCTTTTGGTTAAGCAAAGCTTGGAAGAACTAATTTCTAAACCATGACATAATATACAAATAAAATACTATATACTAACTATACAGTGAAGGAATAATCTCAAATAATAATTCAGAGCAGCAAAAATTAAAGACAATGATTTTTCCTGACAGAGAAAACCAGTGATTGAGAATCTATAGCCAATCATAAAAATCTTCAGTAATGTACTATTATAAATAAGAAAAAAATCAGTTGACCATACAAAAAAGAGATACATTCATCAATCAGAGAGGAATGAAGTTTCCAGCATGTGTTTAATACAGTTTCTCATGGTCATGATGCTTATGATTTCACTTTGGGCATCCTCCAGAAATTCAAGGGAGTAGATATTTCTGAAACTTAAGAAATTATATCTGACTAACACTCTGAGAAGATACCATTGCTGAATTAAGACACAGAAACCTGAATTCATTTTAATCTTTTCTACTGAAATAATTAGTTCATAATGGCAAGACATACTGAGTTATGCACAAAGATTCTAGAGTACACCTACCTATATTGCTCAGCATGACTAGAAATGACCACATACTAAGTGTATCAGGTTGCCACTTCACTGTGATAAATTGCACTGACAAAACAGTAGCAGAATTTTCAAAAGGGAAAAATGTATTTCATAAATATATGGTATTTATTAACAATAGAGAAATTTAACTTTAAAAGAAAATCAGAAACTCAAAATTTGGCACATATATAATTATCCATAACTGAACATGTTATTGAATTTTTAAAGAAAATACTTATGTAAAACAACTGTTCTTAAAATCATCTGGTGACTGATCTTATTAGTTTACTTTTAGATGTAAATCCCTGATCAAGGGAAAAGTTTTTTTTCCAGCCCTTTGAAAACACTTAAGCACTGGTGTATATAATTACTTTAAAAACAAAATTTTAAATTTGGGTGCATGTATATTGATACATTAACTATTGTTCATATTATTATATTCTAAATTTGTGTGTTTTTAGACCCAATATTTTCCTGTAATTTGAACTTGCCTAGATTAAAAATAGAATTCAAGTGTGATGATTCAGTGTTATCAAAAAGATGTTAAATATTAGTCTGTATATTAAGATTTATCTTACATTTTACATATTGTGCATATAAACAAAGAGGCCTTGTTACTCAGACCCTATATCCAAAGGGACTGTGACCATGAAGTATACATTTTTAAGTTGTATTCCACGGAGAGGTGCAAGAGCCTGTGATCTTGTTAAAGGACAGGAAGATATTTGAGATATGACTATAGGGTGGTGTGACTGATTATTTTAATTAATATAACCTAACAGTCATCAAAATCAAATGCTTCAAAGGGGTCATCTTGCCAAATATTAAGTACTTGTTTTCTGATGCTACTATTGCTCTAACCAGCATTAAATGTCCTCTTTTGATAATTGCCTTTAGAAGCCACTGCTCACTCTTTCGAACATTTTTTATAATGGAAAATCTTTGTCCAATAAAGGAAGATCTGGCTTTGGGAAACTGATACAGAGTTAAGTCTGCTGAACATAGATATTTCTGCTCTGGATTTAAAAATGAAACATATAAAATAAGAATATTTTTCTAGCAGCTAATAAACGCCCTTTGAAGGCTATTCCAAAAGAAGAATTTGACAGATGTTTTAAGCATTGGAGAGGGAGGAGTCCAGTGGCTTCAATGAAACACGTGTATAGGCTTTCAGGATAGCTGCTGCAAAAAACATCATTTAACATGTCACATTGCTTCGTGGTCAGTTACTTTGTAAGGAGAAACAGAGAAAGAATGTTGCTAACTGGCTTTCCAATGAAATCTCCAATCGGAGCTAGGACTTTAACATATAGATTGAATGTAAGGTGATTTGACTTTACTTTTAAAATATTCCAAGAAGTAGTTTGGCATCTCAGAATATTCTCAACAGATGTTTACAATTTCTCTCTGCTGAATGAGGAAACTAATGCATGTACTTTGTGAATATGGGCTGAGATTGAACTGGAAGGCCTTATCAGGTCAAAAGAAAGCCTTCAGCTTCTGTACACAACCTTGGATATTCTGATGAAACTGTAAAGAGTCCTACTAATAGCTTATTTTCTCCCCAATGAATCTTTGAATCTTAGGGAAACTATAGCTGAGTACATCCAAATATTTTCACATGAAAGCTCCAGGGACAAAGTCAGGCAATCTCAAAATTTTACAAAGTACCAAGAGAGAAATATTGTAAAATCTCCCATCCTGGGAAATTAAATTTTCTTAAATGTTTCAAAAATAGAATTCAAGGAAAGTAACATTCTGAAAGCAGAGAACCCTAAGTAGAAAGCACTATATTGGATACTTAACCAACTTCAGGCATGACAAATGAAACATTCTGTCAAGATGTGGTCCACTGAATCTACCACAAATAAATGTTATCATTATGAATTAGACGTGTATGAAAAGAGATGATTAAAATTTTACTACAAATTCAATTTCAAAAATCCAATATCTATTTCATTGAACTAAAATTTATCTTACTAACAATGTTACTTCAACTTAAATGAGAAATAGCTTTTCCTCCCTACCCCCACCCACCACCAAAATAACATGAATATAACATATATCACTAGGGGAAAAATCATATTTAATCTAACTGAAACTATTTTGTGGACTAGATGCTAATAACATTTAGACTATTTTTGGCATGGTTATTCAATTTAAAACAAACATTCAATTTTTATTTTGATGTCATATGCATGAGACTGAGGTAATGTTTTCTTCAGGTAGAAGGAAATAACACTTTGTATATACATCACTATAATTTTGCAAGTTGGTCTTTCGAGAGGCTTTGGAAGATATAAAAGAAAAATCTCTATTTTTCTTTAACACTTTGATAAATGAGTAATTTCAGAAGAAAATGTGATTATGCATAGAGAATAAAATTCTATAAAATAGTCTGCTTTCTGTATTATCAACAGTTTGAAATAATTGGGTAAAATATGTGGCACTTTTCATTTTTACTCTATTTCTAATACAAATTGATTCAAATAATGTTATAGTATTGTTAAAAGTGCTAAATAAGTACCAATTTGGGTACAGTGCATTGTTGTTTTATGAATATCTAAACATACGAAATTCTAGTCAGAGATCATGGAAATTACTCAGAGATTATATGTAATTTGATCACAAAAGGCTACATAATAAAATAACAAAACAGAATTACATTTCAATTTTAAGGAAAGTGATAGGGATTAGAATTATTATTATATTTTAGTGTTAAAGCTAAAACAATTTCTAATTTGTTTGCAATTCTTAAATGTGATACAAGAGAAAGTACTCAGGAAAGACACCTCCAACTACATAACAGTGTGAAGATTTGGCCTACCTTAAGTATTATTAGTTCAGTGAGGGTACTGAACAAAATTTTGATATTTTTGTTACTACTATGCTTTATTATTTCTGGGCAATCTAAAGAAGAATTAACATTACAGCACTTTTTTAAAATGGAAAACAGAAAATGTACTTTATAGACACTAAAAAATTCTATTATTGCAACTTAGTTATTTTACATTCTAGTTACTTGCCTAAGATACAAGGCAGTCTAAAATTGCCAACTGATGACTGAATTAAAAATTTTTCATACAGTAAATGACTAACTCTCAGGTTTCTTTTAAGAGACACAAATCAGTAAAGGAACTGAACTAATCAGTACAAAATTAACAGGTGATACCCACTTGAAAAAATCAAATCTAATGAAAATAAAATTAGCAACAGATTCTGTTGTTTAATTATCTGTATCAGCTAGCATATACAAATGTTAAAACTTTTCAACTGAATTGCTGCATTTATAAAAATGTATGCACAACATCATATTTTAAAAGGAAACTATCATCCAACACATAACTTGGCAATTTTTTGTTAGTTAACTGTTCTACTCAAATTCGATATATTGATTTAAATATTTAAATACTTTATTTAAATCTGCATTCAAAGTATGACATTAGGAAGGTGTTGAAATAAAAATACAAAACAAAATTTATAAATTATAATATTTAATGCCATATGTTTAAAAATGTTGAAAGAATGTAATGTCTAAATTTAAAGTCTAAGCTAACAAATCTAGGAGACCCTACAAATGGGAAATATTGATTAACAATTAGGTAACATTTTGAGTACTTAAAAAAATAATTTAATAATAAAATCTAATTTATAAACGCAATTTAAATCTTTGAAAATTAAGTAAAAAAGTTATACAATATGAAGAGATGAAATTTTGCCTAAAACATAAAATAATTTAGTATTGTTTTTATTTTCTGTTTATTATATTCAACTTAAAAATTGTATTTCTTGTGTATATTTTGGAGAATCATTATTCAAGGTGGATTTTAACAAGAAAATAAAAACTTTTGCATTCATTCTTATGTTTTATATTTTTAGAGGAATATTATTGTTAATGCTTTATTTTCAAGTGGTTACTACTGGTTTTATCCAGTATGTAGGAAAGAGTTCACCAAGATGAATTTTTAAGTGTCTGTGTCTGTTTTGTATAAGCCTTGATTCCTATATTCTTCCAAGACAATTATGGTTTCTAGAGACTGTTTAAAAAGTCATTTTCAGTGAATATAATGCTGTTTCTACAAATAATTCTTTCTCTTGAACTAGAAATTATTTATCCTTAATATTAAACTAATAATTTTAGTGTCTGGCCCTTTTAACTATTATTGTTTTCAATAGCAACAACCCTAATTTACTTTTTCTTTTTTCTTTTTTTTTTTTTTTTTTTTTTTTTTTTGCCATGTAACTACCATTTCTGGCCAAAAAAAAAAAAAAAAAGTTTTTTTTACACCTGACTCTTTTCTCTCTCTTTTTCATCCTTTCCTCCCTCCTTTTCTTTCTTTCTTCCTTCTTTTCCTTTCCTTCCTTTTCCTTTCTTTTTTGTCTTCTTTTATTTTTGGAGGATAACGTTACTGAATCAAGTAGCTGTTTAGAAGGAGGAGCAAATGTTACTACCTGTAGTCAACTGGCAAGAAAAATGAAAACCTTTATCACATGAGAAGTATTTAAAGTAAACAGATTTACTCAGAGGAAGGCCTGAAAAAACATGGAGTAGAAGTTACAGTCTGGCACATAAACTTAAATCTTGTTTGGGAATTTTTTGGTGGAGTGTCTTTCTAAAATGCAGTCTGCTGATTTATTTATTTATTTTTTTAAAAAGGCTGACAGTTAATTAGCACAGAGTCTTATTACAGAAGTCTCCTCTAAAGCAGACATATTCAAGTTATACTGAGGTGATTGTCATAAAGGGGTTGTTTGCTGTGGCGCTCACAGATGGCAGAAAAGACAGCCCAGGAACGCAAACAGCCTGATAATCAAGATAGCTTTAAAATATGGGTGAGTTTTCAACTCTGATTCTGGCAGCAGTCTCTTTTCAAATATCTTGGGTTTTATGTCCAAGTGGTTTACTTTAAAGCAACGTTGTCATCAAAGGAGTCCCAGAGTCAAGAATAATTATGATAATTACCCAGAATTGCACCCCCCAATAATCATAATAATAATCCTGAATCTTAACCAAGTATAATATTGTTTGTGCAATACACTGCTACATTCAAAAAGATGAAGTGCTAGACAACTACGATTTATTCTTAACTGACAAAGTAGCTATAATTGTATGACTTTCTAGGATAATGGTTTAAACAAAAGTAAATAGTAAAAAAAAAAGTCCCCCCACCCTGCCCCCCCAGAAAAGATTGGAAAGCTTAGCTGTGTTTAGTGCCCATTGATGAAAGCAGTGTTCTCTGATCCATGCTGCTATTGTTGGTTTTAGTTTAGCTCCCTCTCAATCAATATCTAACAGGGCATGACTTAATAAGGTTTTATAATCTCCAAAAATGGTGGGGGGGAGGGTGGTTGTGGTATTGTCATTCATCAAAGGGGGCCTTTCAGGTTTCTTTGCTTTCACCTGCTGGGACCCATTTGGTCTCTTTCAAAGAGAATGCAATGACAAAATGAATGAGAAATGCTAGAATAAGAGTCCCTTATTCTACCCAATAGTATAATCAATGGGTACTTGTAATCCCTATTGTACCTCACAGAGGTAGTTGTAAGACAATTAAATCTCGCTTCTCAGGCAAATGATTTTGGTAGTTAACCTGAAACAGCCAACAATATTGAAGAGAATGAATGCATTTGAAGCAATGATGTAATGGGGTACTGCTTGGCCAGAAAAGCATGCATGTGTATTGATGTGCATATCTATATGTGTATGTTTATTTCAATACTCTATGTCCACAGTTTTCATGATTCATAGGTCCTTTGATATTACGTGGGTAAGTGGCAAGGATTTTAAACAATTTCATAATCTGCCCTTTTAATTTATATTTTAAAAGAACACAAAAATATTCTTATTTTTGCAGAATTATATACTCTAAACTGTAGTTTCATAAACAGAAAACATTTACATAGTTAACATCAGTTTGATGTGACAACCAATTTAGTTTTAATTTCATTTGCATCGGCTAAATTCAATTTCGCTTTCCCTCCTTACTGAATTGCTTGAATGTCAAAAGGAAGCTTGTAGTCTTTCGAAGAGATACTCATTTCAGCCTGCATTATTTGTTCACCTTCAGTTGTGTGGACTTCCTATTTTATTTCAAGTATAGTCTATCAGGATTCTCATGGTTTGTCCTTTTTAAGAAGGAATAAAAATGTGCCAAGTGACAAAATTGTGTAGCGCACACAAATTCTAAAAGATTCATGGAAAAAAAATTATACATTTGTTAGGAAGTCTTGTACTTATTGATAAATATTAAATACAAAATAAACGGAGCAAAGAGATTGCTGTATCAGAAACATAACATAAACATGCATTTTAGTTCAGAATAATTTAAAATTTTAATTGTTTAATAATTTGAAAATTAAAGGGCCCTGCCTTTAGTATAATTTAAATATACCTTTAATTTCTCATATCTCATTTATGTTGAAAATATCCATTTTCCTTTGCCAAAATTCTCTAAGAAGCCTCAGTTAATTATTATTTATATTTAGTCCAAGCTTTATTCCTGAGGCAAAATCCTACATTTAATTACACACACAAACATGTAATAAACATACTTTTATCTCTGGAGGTACACATTTTCTTCTCCACCTAAGGGGATTCTAATAAAGAGCTATTGATTTGGGAGATCTGTACTCCAAAAATACATTGACCCAAACATACAGATATCACAGATGTATGCTGTGCACAAAGTGTGTATGTCTTTTCATTAAGTTATGCAGACATGTAGCTTCCTTATATGTAAATAAAATCGCTCTCCATTGATGCTTGTACACCTAATTCTCTCAATTATCCTTAAATATTGAAAAGCAACTTTCAGGGAACTAGGCATGTTGCCCTATATGACTTCCAAGGCAGAAATATTGGTATCGGAATTCTACATACTTGTAGATTATTTTTTAAACCTGTTATTTTTCTATGTTTAGATCATAGAGGAATAGAAAAATCCCTTAGAAAAATAAATTGACCTAAAAAAAGATGTGTTTGCTCCGAATGCTGAGTTTAGTGAAGAGTGATGCACCTGACTCCTCTGGATACTTCCAAATGAGTCTGGCTAATTGGGGTAACCTAAGCCAATGGCCATTTGAAAGACTCGAGGTCAGGTGTTTTATTGCTGGGATAGTATTCAAAAAAATGACTGTCAGGGGTGAACGAAGAATTATGTCAAGAGCATTCAGCATTACTGCCACTAAAAAGAGAGGAGGGGAAAAACATTGTGAAGAAAAACATGTCATTTTCTAAATGAGCTAGGGGAGGAGGATAGGGCAATAATGTGGCCTTCAGCTGTTGGTTTATTAGGTTTCCATTCCCATGATCCACATCTGCGTTAGGCAGAAATAGTTTTACTTTTAATACAATTGCACTCTACTACTTTGCTTTCTTATGGAGTAAAAAATAGCTGTGAAAAACGTGCAAATGAGGTTTGTTCTGTGTGGCTGTTGTTTCCCTATCTCCTATGCTATTTTCCTGGTTCTATAGCAAATCTTAGCATTGTTGTCTGATTTGCCATGGAACAGTGAACATTGCTTTTCCTAGCCAAATCATCCAGTGTTAAATGCTATGTGATACAGATCAATAGGGCATCTACAGCTGTACAAAAAGGGCAATGTTGTTTCTATTAACAATTTTGAAAGAGAGTGTGGCCTAGTGGTTAAAGGATTAAATAGGTTGTTGAGGTTTTTGATGTCTTGAATTCTAATTCTACCTAAGCCTTTGGATTCCTGATGAAGTTGTTAGCAGATTTTTTTCATTTTGATCTGCACCAATATACTCATGGGTTATATACTTGGGGATATTATTATTGTGTGATCATTCAATAAATAATAAAAATCTGGAGGACTGATGAAGATTGGAAAAACATCTTGATGACTTCAAAAAAAATGTTGCTTTAAATATTCAATCAGATTAATTACTAATGTTATTTTTCACATAATGGTTTTGTGTTTCAGGCTGTTCCTCCATCTCGCCTGAGCCCATTTAGCAAACTGGGGTAAGGGCTTGTATTGGTTCTAGTTATCTGGATTTTCCTTAAGGAACAGGATACGTTTTGTTTCCTGTAAAGACATAACTTGTCAGTGGCATTTTAATGAACTGTAATGTAGAAAAAGTGGTTGGCTTTTTGGTGCCATTGCCAACCCCAGGTGCAAATGGTTGTTTTTGAGGATTAGCAATATACATCCCTCTTTATTTCATTTTGGGGCAGAGGCCTGTATGAGTCTGTGTGTGTGTGGTTATGTGTGCACATATGTCTATGTGAGAGAAAGAGAGAAAGAAACCGAGACAGAAGAGTTTATAGAATTGTATGTTGCTGTGGTTAACTAAAGCTAACCTTTGAAAGTAGTATAGGCCCTCCTATCGTATTTCCTGCAGAATCAGATTTCTGGATTCCAGATGATCTGAATTCTGTCTTCCTTCCTCCTTTTCCCTCTGTCTGTCTCTGTTTCTCTGTCTCTGTCTCACTTTTCTCTGTTTCTCTTTCTCTATTTCATTCTTTCTCATTCTCCCCCATCCCCAGTTCATTTCAGAAGAATGTTACATGTTTATAAACAATTCACTCAAGCAGCAAAGAGAAGAGAAGGAGGAAAGAGACATATTATTCTTGGAACAAAGACACATATTATCTTTAGTGTAATCAAATAATAGAAGTCCAACATTAATTATATTCAAATATCTGCCATTTGGTTTTAGTGCACTTTATTTTATTTTACTTTTTTATTTTATGTGTTTAATCTTGTACTCCATAAAAGTGGGAATGCAGCCCTTTGTAACTGGAGACTGGTGGAAAACTAAGCGTTCTGAGGCTGATGAGACTGCACATGGAAATGGAGATTGTGGCTATCACTTTGGTCTTATTGGTGACCCAGCCTTGGTCACAGATTAAATACTTAGGGCAGTGCATTGTGGGAAGACATTTGTGAAAACACTTGGAAAACTAGAATTAATATACTATGTTGATAAAGTTTTCTTGATTTTTGGAATAGTTGACTTAAGTTTGTGTGAAGGAATTAAATGAAATAGTCAACAATCAAGTATAATGTCTTCCCCAAATCAATGGGGGATTTAAAAAAACCATTTCTTCTATATTACTCATATTAAAGAGATATTAATTTCAGTCACATTAAGATGTTATATGCTTTCTCTGGCTTTCTTTAAAACCTCCTTATTTTCCTAATTTGTTCCAACAAGATTTTTATTTTAAAAGATGTAATTCAAACATGATATTCTGGTCTACAAAAGGGTAATTTTGCAGTTTTTAAAAGAAAGTACACTTATTTTATTAACAGTTTCCAAATTATTGGTGGGTCTCTTTTTAGTTTTTCTTAAAAATATACAATGACTTTGTAGAATCTTCACTACAGCATGAAACAAAAAATTTCTAGGTGAGAAAAACTTAAGAGCTTATTTCTGTATAATCACAACTCTGCTATTTAATGTTATTTATTATCACAGGGATCAATACTTAATTAGCTTAATGCTTAAATATTCAGCTATTTGAACATTTAATTATTAAATTATTTGATATTCAATTAACCTGGACAAATAAGCCAATCAATATTAAAAGACTTTCTCCGAACAACAAAATAAAACAAACGTTTTGTTATTTAAGTGAGATTCTGATCAATAGATTTTCTTTTATATTTTATGAATTCCGACATTACAGAGAACTAATTGACAAATGAGAATACAATGCATTACTAATAATTTCAAATACTAGTTACATCTGCTTGGTGTGACTCCAAATATAATTTGAATTTGAATTTTTCTGCTTCGCCTACTGCATCTACAAAAGCATTTACAACATTTTCTATTCTTTTTTCTCTGGTTGTTTGCATCTCTGGTTGTGTCGCAAATTTTATCAAACTCTTTGGACATACAAATACAAAAAGAACCAAAAAAGATTAGTCTATTTCACTTCTGCCCTATCACTTCTCTGCCATGAACACTTGAAAGTGTCCTGTTTACTCATTTTATGGAGTTCAGTCATTTATTCACATGGAAGTGCAAATTTAAAAAAAAATAAGTTTTAAAAAGGGTTTTTATTGAAATATTTCATTATAATCCGTTATGGAGGCAATACTCCTCTCAGCATCAGTGAGAAGCTATTGGTTTTCTGCAAGTGATCAAACAGAACTGAGTGGGCAGCTTTAGAGCACATATATACACTCCCTGGTGGATTTTCAAGCACAAAGTAACTTAATGTCCCACTGATGTTAAGCAGTCAGTTGTCACGAAAAAGCTTAGTGGCCGTTCACAACCAGCTAAAATTATATTTCTAGCAATTGTTTTAGATCTGTATATAGAATAATTGACTTCAAAATGATTAAAGTATTTGTCTTGTTTTACATTCCTTATGATCAATTGACTAACCTGTTACTATGAATTACATAGAATGTCTAAGAGGAAAAAAAATCAGCTGTGCACACATGGAGCTCCTATTTCAAGATATCTTTATCTATCTGTCTGCTTTATAGCAACACGTTGTATAATAATAGTCATGGATTTAGGGAGCTTATATCCAAAGTGAAGATTTTCATGATATCAAAGATTAGAACCAATTCAAACATAATCCAAATGACTCATTTCATCTATTAATATGACAAATTAACATGTTCTTATAAACCAGAACTACACAGGGTAAAAACAAAAATGTAACACTATGAAGCAAGTTTTGCCAAGTTGCCCATTTGTTCTCCAATATTTGCATTTTAAAGAGGTATAACTACATTATTGAATTCTTATTTTGACAAATATTTTAGTTGAATGCCCTCATAAAATCTCCGGTTTTCATAAATTCATGGATATTAGGGCTAAAAGTGTACATTAAAAATGATACATCTTGCTCTGAGACACTATACAGGAAAAAAATAACTTTTCAGAGGTGGATAAAAACTGAAAAAAAATGCTTTTAAAAATCTTTCAGTTTTTGAACTGGTATGATATTATACCAAAACTGTAAAACCCATTATACGTATAAACATAACTATATCAGTAGCATATGAAGTAAATTATGCACTTCAGTTCGCCAATGTGTAATATCATTTTTGATCATATGTAAATTTGCTATAAGAGGTTTTAAAAGGAATCTTTAAAAATATACCCCAAACTACAACAGATTTGTCATTCATGCACTGCTGAGCATAGAGGCCTAATTTTACCTTTTTGCTATTATTTTAAATTAAGGCACTTATCTGAAAGATCAAAACAGCTTTTACATTGGACACTTTGTGAAGGGAGATAGTGATAATATCTGGAGGAATATGGTAATTAGTCCTGTTGTGGAGGCACAGAGAGATGCCTCATGCATGTATTGGGAATCTGCAAAGACCAAATATAAAAGTATATCTCAAAGTTGGGAGGGTAGATTAGAAGGTGCCTAGTGATCTGGCAGAAACATTAAATAAAGCAAAAAACATTGCATTTATAAAGCAAGAACAAAGACATTTCCTTTTGCTTTGCTGGTAAAGAATATTAAAAGAGGACAACCTCCTTTTTGACAGCAGTTTTAAATCCAGCTTTTCATATTACAGTCCTTAATGAGGGACCCCACAATATCAGATGAAGAAAAACAAAGAGAATTTTTGATGAAAAAAAAATCAGGAAAAAGAGAGGGGATGACTGAGAATATGCAAACTTTGTCTGCAGTTGTTTGAGCACAGGCATAATGCTGAAGGGACTTTTTCCCTATAACTACCTATTAAGGAAGGCTGCATAACAAATAGCAGACTATCCCCTAAAGAGCTGAAAGGTAAAGTTCTCAGGAAGCCCCAGTAAATACTGAAATGATTTTTACTATTCCAAATTTAATTCGACATTTTCTTAGTGTGTGTATGGGGAGGGCGGAATACCCCCTTTGTGTCCTAAAAAGTGTCATGCAACACAGAAAGATCTCTCTGAAAGAAAACGCGTCTTACTTGACTAAACACTGAGCTCTCAGCGTGAAGAGAATAAACGCCTCAATGTTACACGCGGCCGTGTGGCAGAGCAGGTCCAATGCAGTGCTCTCACGCCATCTAGCGGCTTTGTGAGAAGTCTCTCTTCTGTGATCTCAGTGAGCCACTCCTGTTTGTATTTAAGTAGTGCCTATAATGCAAATGGAAGTGCAAATAGAAGAGAGAAATTGCCATAATTATTCAGAGAATTTGGACACAAAGTAGTTATTTTGCTTGAAAAATATAATTTTTCAGGATGAAATATTCCAGCAGTTTAAATACCCTGGCTTAAAATTTTTGGTGCCATTTTGGTTTAAGCGGAAGTGGTTTCAGAACTAGGGCCCTTCCTTTCACTTTTGTCTAATTATCTGCTACATCTCTTTCCTTTCTTCTTCTCTACTTTCCTTTATTTTCACATCATACTTTTCTTTAAAATTTCTGTTTTGATTTCAAATTTCTCAACGGCTTGAAGCTTTTTTTTTTTTTTTGCTTGTATTCATCAGGCTTTTATTTTAATAAAATGCCCCCTTTGGCATTCTAATTTGAGACAATAATAGGTAATAAAATCAAAGAACCAACTTTCTGCTTCTTGGAAACACCCAAAATAGTGCTATCCTCAGATACTCTTCCCCTACCAACCCTCAGATGTGCTGCCCTGCAAGCAGCACTTGGAATGTCAAATTGCAAAGATACTGTTTACAAGCTATTTTAGCCACTCTCAGAAATACAAGTTTCCACTGTCATCTTTGCAAAATGGCATTATACACACTATTTATATGAATAGAAAGTGTGCTTGAACTTTGCTTAATGAATCAATCTTCAACTAGTGTAAAGTCTACTTAACCAAAATGACGTTTCATTCTTTTCCTATTTGAGAGTTATTTCATAGGCCTAGGCATTCTCCCTTTTGATACCATTGAGTCACACATTTTAATATTACATTTATTATATCTACAGATGGAAACTCTTATACTCTGAAAATATAGTTTCCTTTTTGGATAATGTGAAAAATTAAATTTACGGTGTTTTCATTGAGATACCTTTTAATGATACAAAGAAGCTAATTTCTATATTTGTATAACAAACATCTGCATAGTATTAGTCATGAACCAGGATTAAAGTTTCTAAATCACCAATAAAAGGGGCTGTTGGTGGGAAACTAATAGGAATTTTGAAGACCCCATGTATTTTATTGCGTTTGGGAATCAATAAGAAATACAAGTTGCGACTTTCTCTATACATGTGGTGTTCAAAGACTGATAAATATTTTAAATCAAACATCCTTACTTGAAGGGATTTAGTAAATTAATTTAGTACTTGTTGAAGAGGTGTGCACATTTAACCTTTCAAACATTATAAGTAATATACAAGTGGAAAATAATTTTGTTTTTTTGTTTATATTAAAAATTCACTTTCAAGGATTCAATTATGAACAAACAAAAATTCATAAAATCTGAATTTAACATTTCTCTGATAAGTATGATGTTATTTGCCTTTGCTGTGTTCTTTTTGAACATTTATATTTCATCATTTAATTTAGACTATGAGCAAATATTTTAAAGTAAGGATGCTTTTTAAAAAAATGCTGAATCAGAAAGAATGTTCTTTGATTTTTCTACTTTGTACTAATTTTAGTATAAATTTTCTTAAAGAGAGGTCAAGTCTGGGTTTTCGCCTTTCAAACAACCATAGGGAAAAATTCATGTTACACAAAATGCTCATTTTTTTTTCCAATTTTTTCTTGGAATGGCAATATGAAATCTTAAACAATAAATGTTTACAGATGATATCTATATATATTCTAGTAGATCAACTGGTTGGTGATTTTTTAAAACTGATATTTTAACTATAATTTTCTTATCTGAAGACATTATCTGGTAATTTTAAAACTGTACTTTTATTACATTTTCTAATAATTATTATATATGAAATTTGATTTTATTTTCAAATGTAAAAAGAAGCTACTTATAAAATTCTAAGTAATATTGGTCCAATTTTAATTGAAATCCAGCAGTGTTTCTACCAATTTTAATGTCAATATTATTGAGAACCACATACAGCAGTGTTCCTTAAAACAATATTCAGAAAAACTTTAGAAAGCTGGAAACTTCTTTGTTGAGTAGCATGATAGTGCTTTTCTGCATTTTTTCTAAATAGGTTCACATAGACAGAAAAATAGACTTCCAAACAGTTTAAAAAATATATCTGAGTAAAATGCTACTTTTCTGATAAATTCACTACAATTATACATATTCTTTGTTTCAAAGAAAAGGAAAAAAACCTCAGGGAGGTTTTATTTCATAGAAAAAGGCATGTAGGCATCACACATTGCTGTCTGAGGACAGTGCTGCGTTTTGATTAGAACAAGAAGCTATAATTGGAGTGATAATCTTTTACACTGTTTTTAATTGTAATCAGTGCAGATGTTTGTAGCTTTATGATTAAAAAATGGTGCTTTATGATATGTATAGTTGATTTTTTAGGCCACAGGCTGCTCAACTTGGCTTATCTGAAAACTTGAATTTGATAGTCAAAAGTACTGAAAAGTGAGAAATCCACAAGTATTAAAAAACAAGCATCTACCATTTTTGATGGACTAAAATTTGTATGTTTTAATCTTACTAAGCTTATGTAGATAATTTTTTGTATCCTTTCTTCATGAAGTGAAATAAAGAAGCTCCATCTATAAGACTAAAGGAAAATTTGAATTATGATAGAAAATAGCTTTGATAAAGAAAATATTAAAGTCTTCATAATTTAAGCATGATCTCTCCCAGGATAAGATAATTTGGCTCATTCTTTAGGTGTTAGAATGAAATGCAGATGAAAACAATTCTATATAAGCATTACATTTTGCATTTCTTTCATTGTGTCTATTTTTATCTTAAGTTTCCCTGGAGATATAGATGATAGATAGATAGATAGATAGATAGATAGATAGATAGATAGATAGATAGATAGATGATAGAGATATCTGAATTTTTCAGTTTTTATTCATAATGTTTTTAATGGAATTAATAGAATTAATTAACTTTGGCATTTATATTATATACCCGGGGGAGGGTCTTTCTGTATTTTCTGGAGGAACGATTTGCAGTCTCATAAACACAAATTAAGGGAGTCCTTTCCTCCCTTTTATGTGTAGGAGTATATTTGGTGTATGGACATCTCTTAATGAATGTCATTGGTCAGGTGCTCTCTACCTAATGCTGCACTTAAAGGCAGATATTCTGGATGTTAGATCCCTTTCTTTCACTTCTCTTGGGCTGTATTTCTCTTTTAGGTTACACAGCTAGGCTGCAGCAGTATCCCATTCTGTCTGCCTCTTAAATGAAACAGAGTGGAAAACCATGCCCCCACATAGAAGCATCTGCTTTATTAAAACAATACATGTGTTCAAGACTCAACAAGGCATTCTGAATCACAGTGAAGTTTAGAAATCAGCTGATTAATTTTCTGCAAGAATCCTTGGGGGAATTTCCTTTTTTTCTTTGTATCAAAAAACACATCGATTTAAACAGCAAACATCTGATTATAAGTGGTAGAAATGTGAGTATATATGTGTAACAGCTAAGACTAAACTTGTTAATGCCTAGAAATTTATGGTAAAGAAACTTAGGAAGTATTTTACTTCTTACAGTTTTAGACCCCAAATTCCTAACATAAGAATAATATCCTGTCTTCATTACAATAGCAATATAGAAATTGATTCATTGCTAGAGTGTTCACAAATTTTACAAAGGAACTGAAAATTATTATATGGCTAATACTGATCATTTAAATAATAATAGCTGCTACTCAAAGCCATCTGCCATAATTTGTATTTTTTATTGCTCATCTTTAGAATAATCTCACAAATTAGGAAGTATTTATATTGTACACATAAGGAAACTGAGACTAACAGAATTTGGATCACTTGCCCATGGTCACCAGCTATCAAATGGCAAAATAAATTCAAATCTATGTCTGCTTCATCTTACTACACATCATTCCTCCATGCCATGCTCATCACTAATGTGAGTCAGAAACTGTCCCATGTTCTTTATGCATATCACTTGATTATAAAGCCTGTTTCTTTTCCTATATGCTTCTTAAATTGAACAAAATTTGGATGTGTAAGTAACAGTATATTTATAGTATTAACTTCTTAGCAAAAGCAGAAACAGAACTTTTATCAGATATGTCAATAATCAAAGCATTCAATTTTGGTAGAAATCAGGGGTCATGATGCTAACAAACTGGATTTAATACAATATGAAAACAAACTCTAATGGATGAATTTGGTAATTATTCTCTGACATATTCATATAATTATTCCATTTTATGGATTGTGGAATGGTGCCATTTTCCCCTTGTTCATATCTGCTGCCACTTATCTCATTTGTCTAGAGAATTTTGCACATGACTCATTCTTCTTATTACTTTAAACATAAAACACAGTAGACATGTCATGCCTTGTTTATCTCTGCCTCACCTGACCAGACTTTCTTCAAAGTCCATACAACATTCGCACTGACCTCTTGGGACTTTGTGGTAGTTTACCTCACTTGATTGGATTCCTCTGTCTTGGCACCGCTCGGCACTAATTTCTACCATATCAGTTTATACAATAAACTTGTTATTTTATTTCACATATATGCTTGATATCTTAAGTAATATCCAAAATCTTTAAAGTGGAAGCAATTTTCATTTCTTTACATTTTCCATGATATCATTCTAAGGTACCTAGCAGAATGCTCCAAAGAGGAGCTACCCTATTCAACAGTTAAGACTGAGCCAGGTGGATGGCAGCTCATCAAGTCCAGTTCCAGTCTTAGAATAATAAGCAACATGCCATTCTGTCATGTAAGTCAGTGGGCCGGCTGCGGTGGCTGACGCCTGTAATCCCAGCACTTTGGGAGGGCAAGGCGGGCAGATCAGGAGGTCAGGAGTTTGAATTAGCCTGGCGAACATGGTGAAACCCTGTCTCTACTATGGATACAAAAAATTAGCTGGGCATGGTGGCACATGCCTGTAATTCCAGCTACTCAGGAGGCTGAGGCAGGAGAATTGCTTGAACCCGGGAGGCAGAGGTTGCAGTGAACCAAGATCGTGCCATTGCACTCCAGCCTGGGTGGCAGGGCAAGACTTCATCTCAAAAAAAAAAATTAATTAAATTAAATTAAAATAAAATAAATATATAAATAAGTCAGTAAGATATTGTTAAACAAGATGAGGTCAAGACTAATTCGCACAGAATACTATTTGTTTAACATTTTCTGGGTCGGTCCGGAGTCTGATAACCTTTCCCTGGGACCCTTTCTCTGGGCACAATATTGTATTCATTTGGAAATTTTTAACCAGAGTTCATCTTAACCAGAGTTTATAGGTGAGCACAACATGAGGACCAGAATGAAAAGTTTTGCTGAAGTTACAGTACAGTATAACTGTTCCCATTCCTCCATCTTCCAGTGTTTTTAATAGAGTCTAGGAGGAAATGTTCTCAATTCAGCCACGCTTTTGTTGACTGAATATTTTCAATTTTAAGGGATTTTTGAGACAGCATACTCAAGAAATAGTTGCATATATAACTACACATTACATGGGTCAAAAAAACAGGCATAGATCGTCTAGTCTGCAGCAATAAACTGGTAGCTTCT
This sequence comes from Homo sapiens, assembly GCF_000001405.40. Classification (NCBI taxonomy): domain Eukaryota; kingdom Metazoa; phylum Chordata; class Mammalia; order Primates; family Hominidae; genus Homo; species Homo sapiens. The sequence goes on along the minus strand of NC_000005.10, from coordinate 87,775,761 downwards.
AGGCCAGAACCCATTCTCACATATGCTTTGTTTGGCCTGCCCAGTTCTCAAAAGCAGATTTTTTCTTAATTCAAAACCCAGGGCATTTCACATTTTTAAAAAACCTTGCTTCTCATGAAAAACTAGAAGGTTTTGTAACAGTGGGTCTTCTTTCTTGCAGGATAAAATCACCTGGGACTGAACATTTGCCATTCTCTTTAGACAGGGCATACTTTCTCCAATTTGCCCAGTCCTCAGTACTTCTTAGAGAGATTTCTTCCAAGCCTACTTCAGGCATTCATTATCTGCCTTCCGTCTGTAAGCATGTAAGTGATTCCTAATTTAGTCCAAGCCCTGCATTTTAAACTATTAAAAGGAAAGCTGAGTCATTTATAGTGATGCATCCAAGCCCTGGGTGTTATCCACTGAATGATTAGATGCATCAAAATGAGTTACTTTTAGACATTTCAAAAGGTTTTTTAATATAGTAAAAGCATTCTACTATAAACTTGCACATCCGTATGTATATAATATAATTACTCAGATCAACTATAATATGATTTATTATACAAACTATCTTCCATATCACACTTTTCTAAAGGTTGGATAACAAAATGTGTAATATGTGTTTTCACTAGACACAAGATGTTCTGTGTATATAAGAGAAGCAAACAAAGAGTTTCAATGTAGACAGTTCTGCCTGGCCGAGAGAATTGGTTTCTCAAGCATATGGATGGATCCCTTTCTTCCTTGTTGTCTTTCTGTGAGTTGATGCTGGAGTGTCTGATGGTGAGGAAGGATCAGTGCCTGAGAGATATGAAGATGAGACACCCTGACATTGGCCTCAGCACTAGAAACTTGTACTATTTCACATAGCTCCAAGAAGAATTAAAAGAACCAAGGATCTAACCACTCCCAAGCTGCCTTGTAATCTGAATCCTTGGAATTTTCTTGGCCTACTTTTAGCTGAAGTTCTGACTCTGTATCAGGGAGAGATTCTTCACTAAATTGATCCTTTTCTTGAGAGTGAGCTAACCCAATAAGCACTGAAATTCATTTAAAGGAAAAATTTGCATTAACATTTCTTATAATTTTGTATCATTTTTACATGAAAGTGAATATTCTCCTCCACTCTATCCCACACGCACACACAGGGGCACTCAATTTGGGCAGTTTCTTTTTAATGTCTATCAGATTTACTCTAGGCAAACTGAGAAAACATAGGAAGCCAGTTTCAGCATGGTAACAATAGCTCATAAGCCCACCTGCCACCATACACAGGTGCTTTTATCAAGACGTAATAGAATGTTAGAGAACTAATTACAGTATCATTTTTCAAACATGACACTCTCTAGAAGTTCAGGTTAATTTATTCCCTCAATAAGTATTTTTCAAATGCAAACTTGATGAATGGCACTGATCTATGTGCTAAAGATGAGGAACAAAAAATGCAAGATCAAAACCCTGCCCACCAGTCACTTACTGTCCTGTTAGAGAAAATTCGTAATGCAGAATTGTATATGAGTAACAAAGGGACGTAGCTGAATGAATGTTATGGATGCTACGGTTCCAAGACAGAAGAGCTAACGAATGCATTATTCATTCTAAAGATGAGACTTGAGTACAGCCTTGGAGAATGGGGAAGGAGAAGTATGAAAAAGGCTTGAGGTCAGAAATATGCTTTATTCAGTTGACAGTGAGGATTCTCAGCTGTCCAGAGAGGAAGGTTCATACTGGCAAGAAGTAAATTCAGTAGGCAGGAGAAATCTTCATGGCTAAAATCTCATGCAGGGTCAAACTGTCTGGGTTTGAATTCTGGATCTATCACTTACTAGCTGATGATTGTACCTCTGAAGTCTCAAAGCATCTTACAGAGCCATTTGGGAGATTTTTTGAGTCCATTTATGTAGGGCACATAGCACAGTTCCTGGCATATTAGCGCCACCCTGTAAATGTCAGCTACTATCAGTAGAGGTGGTGGAGAACCCTATATGAAATGGATTTGAATGCCAAAATGAGAAGTCAGAACTTGACCTTGTAAGTAAAATGAAAGCTATCATTGTTTTTTTATTTGTTTTTTAGTGGATTTGAGATATGATATAGATGATGTTTCAGTAAGATTGATCTGGTGGCATTTATGGTAGAGGATGAGTTGGAGAAAGGAAGCAGGAGGACGGGAAGGCAGCTGGGAGGTTACTGGCATAGTTGGGGCGTGAAGCACTAAAAGTCTGCACAGAGAAATTTTAAAGAGAAAAAATCATTGGGATACTGGATCTTAATCATTTGGGGTCATAGGCTTCCTAGTCTATCTCACAAAAACTATGGATCCTCTTCTCACAAATGTGCATATACTGTTGCACACGAGCACAAAAATCTGCATGCAATTTCAGGGGTTCAAGAAGCCCTCCCTTAGAACCCAGATGTAGGGAATAAAAGAAAAGGCAGAGAATGAATGTACTATCATGAAGAAGTACAATAATAATATAATAAAATAAAAACAGCAGTATGATAAAGTGAATCTAATAGATTACATTGGATATATAATATTGCTACTTTGTATTTATGTTTGGGAACTGTTTCGTAATTTTAGTTTGCCCCACAGAGATGGACATATTTTTATATCTCAACTGTAATAATTGTATTTTCTTTCATCTTTGATTTTTTTTCCTAAAAAATATTACTTCATTGAACTGATCTGTCAAATGCGACTTTCACACTCAACTGGTAAGTACATGATATCATATTCTGCTTCACACTGCCAGGTTATGCCCTTCTCTCCTGTTTTGAAAATTAGTGCCTGTGTCTGTGTCTTTTTTATTTAAGTTTCAAAATTATGTAAAAAACATTGTTCAAAATTATTTTTTCAGTATGAAAATTAAGAAGAAATCTGTATTGGAATTTTCCTTTCTCCATTTCTAACACGAATTAAATCTGGAGACTGGGAAGGCAAGTCTATTGCATCAGTCTCACCTTCACTTACCATTGATTATCCCTCTGCCCACTTATTCCTGTGTTCTCATATCAAAATTAAGCTCACAAAATAATAGCCAATGCACCCCAAATTGCAATTTCCCACAATCTTTTGATGGGATGAGGTCAAGAAAGTATAAGCAGAGAATACACCTTTTTTTTTGTGGATCGGGTAATTCCCAGTAGGCACTCCAAATGCGTATCTTTAGGTTCCTTATTTTTATTTTATGATTGGAGCAAACTTATTTATACTTAATTTTGTGGCAAATACCAAAAACAACTTGCATCTCTATTAAAACTATTCATATATTACACAGGATATAAATATAAGTTTTTACTAATATTGTATCTATTTCCTTCTTTCAGATTAATTTGTTAGGTAATTTCAAATAACATTTTATGAATATTTACCAAGCTTTCACCATCAATCCTGAGGATCAACAGTCTAATCCTTCCACTTAAGCCACATCTAACATAGTACTGGATCTGCTGTTTTGGAAACTAATTGATCAGATTCTATTAAACAGACTAAATTGAGGTGAAAATAGACCTAATGACCATCGATTCATCAGTTAGGTCAAAATTTTTGTCTTTTCATGTATGTTAATCACATGAATATTCTTTTAAAGTATAGCAATTATCATACACATCTAATTCTCCAAAATATGCATGAAACACTGGTATTAGAAAAAGAGACTGCAGTATTTGAGAGCTTTAGGGAATCCTATTCTTGTCACTAGAAAGATGTGGATGTACCATGACTCAGAGATACTGATTTTATACGATGCTAAATGTATTATAATAAAATTAGCCCCTATGATTCGCATTTACTAACAGCTCTGACAGTTTCCTCACCTTGTATATAGATTCTAATTGGAATTTTTTGAAAATATTTTTCTTATGGATTTAATTTTTTCAGTAATGGTTGATATTTTTGTGCTGAAATGGGCTTAAATATAACTTTAAAACAATTTAAAATAAGACAGTTTAAATTAGAAATAATAATTGAGTTTAAGTTAAACCAAGAATAATTAAAAAAAAAAAAAAAAAAAGACCAACTTGCCCAGTCTCACTGACTTTAAGAGAAACGAAAGCCTTAAGCACAGTCAGTTTGGCATAATGGAAGCCTCACTGAACTAGAAGCCTGAGGATGATGCTGTCTGCTGATTACATTCTCTGTCATTCAGAACCACTGAGGCCATTTTCTGTTCTGTAAAATGGGAATGAAAATATTTTCTATATCTCTTTTGCGGGGTAGTTGTAAGGATCAAATATAATAAAGAGTGAAAACACATTAATCTTAAGTGACACAAAGTTATTTAAAGAATGGATTAGTGCTATCCCAATTATTGACTTTTTTTTCCCCTACAATGGTAATTTTTCTTTTTGATTTTCATTGATGGTCTCTGCCCTCACTTCCTCTGAATAAAGCCTTGGAACTTCTATTCATAATTGGATAAAATTAGAAAGAATCCCACATCAAGTAGCAAGATGCCTTAGCTATTATTACATTGTAAAATTCCAAAGAAAACCATTTAGGCATGTGGGCCCCATTTAGGGATTTCTGTTTTATAAGTCATGTTGGTGTAGAAGTGTGTGAGTGGAACTCCACAAATTATACTTAACATTTACTCCTAAGTAAGCTGGTAAATCTGCGTGAAAGGAAGCCCAAGTCTCCACTCTTGCTTCCAGTTCTCATGCTTATAAAGCGAACTGTCAGCCAATTCCAGCAAAGCCAAAGGGGGAAGATGTTTTTGTAAGCTTCCTTTAACTGGCAACATTTAGTGCACCACACTAATATCCCAACAACATCGCTATGGCAACCTCAGGCAAGCCCTGCGCATCCCTTAACTTCCAGGCCTCGGCAGAAAACTTGGCTTGCACCACCAGGAGGTGGGGAGGTGGGGAGCCGGGGAGCTGGGGAGTGGGGAGCTGCGAAGAAGGTTGGCTCCGGGCTCTACCCAGCATTAGAAACAAGGGCGGGAGGGCTGGCGGGTGAAGGGGGACGACACCACTTGATATCCTTTCTAAGTGATTCCTGTGTTACTCTGACTTTGTTTTAGTTATCACGTGAGCTAATTACAATGCTAATTAGCCCAGTTTACGGGGACTGCTGTGCATTTGTACACGAGGGTTCTTTGTTTGATCTGCTACATCATAAGCTTACCAGCACGGAGGGATAGCATGTATCGTTGAACGTGGAAGAACACACCTTCATTTGTGTTAATGAAGAAAACTACTGAAAACCAACAGACTAATTAAGGGTAACGATGAACAATTTTGATCAGCAATTATTTTTTAATATCGAAGTTCGCTCCTGGAAAGAGTAGAATGGGGAAGTTCATCTTCCAGCTTTCTACCCAGAAAAGTAGTGAGAGAGAGATCCTGCTTCATTTCCAATTCTTCTCCCACAAACTGTTTTAACATATAATTTAATCGATGCCTTTATTTCAAAAGAAAAAAATAATTATAGAGCTTGTTGGGATCATTTTCTGAAGAGAGGACATTATGCGTGCATGAATTCCATCGGTGATCTGAGGAGGAGCAGGCTGCTTGGACCATTACCCATCATTGTCGAACAGCAGAGTAATTAATTGGGCAAATACGTCTAGATCTGGTGAATTCACATGCACAGTAACTGGGCAGCAGCAACACACACTCTTTTACTGTGAATAAAATAGCAATAGTTTTATGTGCCTTTGTGCTATGTAAAATGTCTTTTTTTTTCCTCTTGGCTTTATCCATTCCAGATTATTTTGTCCATCTTTATGTACTCATTTGAAAAGAGGTTGCTTATTACAAAGGAAAAAGATATCTAGATGAGCAAGTTTGAATTCCATGTCTCTGTTTATTTTTAAAGGAATGAATTGGGTTCATTATTCTTTCACTAATTTTTAAAATAATTTAATATTTTCACTAAAATGAGTTAAATGAGCATGAGGAAATAGTATTTTTTAAACTAGTTCCAGGAATGGACAAGCTCCTAAAAAAATTATTAAGGCCTTCTAATTACCGTACAATATTAATTCAAAAATTTAATTTTTTATTTAAGTGTCATCTACAGAGGTAAAAAATAAGGCACAGCATTTGTCCTGGAGAAACTTCTTATAATAGTCCTCTGTAAAGTATAGATAATCAAACAATCTAACACTGTTTATTTGAACATCAAAAAGTGGACAAATATTTAGAGGAAATAATATAATTGTTTTAATGCAAATCATCTCTGATGGCTAAGTCCAAATGTAATAAGAAAGCTTAGGTTTTGATTTAAAAGGAAGTCAATTTTCCAGCATCTCCCCTTCTGAAGAGGTTAAATGATGATTCTTTTTTTTTTTTTTTCCGATCACATTTTAATCCAGATGACAGAGGACTTGCACTCCTAATTCAGACTTTCTGGTAAAGCTCAGCTTGTCACAATGTATAGCTTTCTTTTCTTTGATAAGGTCAGTTTGCCAAAAAGAACAAAGTGCATATGAGTAATACATTACTCAACCACTTGTATACATACATCTATTTTTCTTACCAGGTCTCACTATTCAGAAAGGTACAGACATGGCACCATGATAAAAAGGGTCATTTAAAAGACTTCGCAGAGGCTCTGTACTGTGAAGGATTGAATTTTCACTTGAATGCCTACATTTTCACATCTTTTTCTTTGCAGAAATATTCCTTTTGAATGGCAGACTGCAATTGGGTAGGTTTTTTTTTTTTTAAGTCACTGACCAGGAATATATAAAATATTAGAAGGCATTTGTCCCAGTGGAAGAACACAGTTCACTACCAGGTACCAGGTGGTTATTAAGAAAGTTATACAACTTTATCTCTTCAGATTGAAGAGCTCCTTCAGATAAAAGCCTTAAGTTCAGTCAAGGTGGAAGGAACACTAAGGTCTGTCACTTCTAAATGACAGACAATTTAAATAACTTGTGAAATCATTAGCCTCAAAGCCATCTACCTAGTAATTTTTCATAATCACATCCAATGTGTATTCTTAGGAACACACAAGCAGACTCCAGTTTATCTTTCTATCTACTTCAATATTTGATCACAACATTTTGAGAAATATGCTCATGACTAATTTTAAAACCTCTAATTTTTCTTTAATGGTTTTATATTTCCCAAATACACTTAAAGGGGTGGGGAGGAGAGAAAAGTCTATTAAATACACTGAAACTTTTTAATATTGGTTACTGGATTCCCTAAGGAGTTAGTGTAAATTCAGTTCAGTTGAATGAAACAGATATTTCTTCATCTCCTACTATCAGTATGGTATTGTGCTGGGATTACGGGGAGAAATAGGAATGAATAAAGCACCTTCTCTACGCTTAAGGATTCTAGAATCTATAAAAAAAGTAAGGTGCATAACCATAATAAAAGCTAGAATATGATGAATAAGAACAGAAAGTCACAAAATTCTGTCAGAATATATCAATGAGATTTTGTCTGGCTGTATCAAGGATGACATCATAGAGGAGAGAGCACTTAAACACTGCCTTGAAAGATGCATTCAGTTGGCCTGCAGTGGAGAAGGACAGAATAGTCTGATAGAATTGCTACATTCTGGAAAGGAAAATGCCAAGAGAAAAAGCATCCAGGTGGGAAAAATGCAGGAATGTTGGTGTGACATGGAGTCCAATATAAGCGAGACAGAGGGGGAATATAAGTTGCTTGAGGAGGAGTGATGAAAATCAAGTGTGAACAACTATGTTGACACTTGATGTTACTAAGGAGTTTGGTTGTGATTCTACAGGCAATTGAGAGCTTCAGAGCAACACAATGTCTAACAGAACTGTGATTTGTGTAGCTTGTAAAATATTGTTTCTTTCTTCTCATGTATAATTTATCTGTTTTTTCCTATACTGTTAACGATTTTTCTTGAACTTTAATTCTATTTTTTTCCCTTTCCTGTTGGAACTAAACCAGAGGACTATAGATGTCATGGACAATATATCCCCCACTCAAGTATTCATGTCCAAACTAAATTGTTAAGAAACTTCACACTAACAATAATGATTTTATAACTCTAAGTCTAGTGGCAATTGTGTATTGTTATTTTAAAAAATACTTAGAATTACTTAATTACTTCTGAGTTATGTGGAATCAGAAATACATTTCTTTGAAAGTGAAACAGGATATCTTGTTCATATTGTATAACAAAACTGGATGAAAAGGTATTTTTTGGGCTTTTAAGAAATAAACTTGCAAACCTCCCTAAAGTATGGACAATTTTATTTCTAAATGTTGACATTTGGAAAAGTTATAAGAATTAAAATACATGGAAGAGTCTGTATACAGTGACATATAATTCAAATAAAATGTTCCGAGTTCCAACCACTGCCATCCAATTCTCCCACTAACGTACTTATCGCTAACAGAAAAGGTACCTCCATTTTACAAATTTGAGCTTTGATTAGTGAAGACAGAGATAAATTATCCCTTTTAAAATTTTATATAAATTAAAATAATTTTCTCTTAGCTATAGAAAATACGGCAAATTCTGTTGTTTTTTTTTTAATTGGAAGACTCTTGGAATAGGGGAGCAGAAACGGCAGCAAGAGTGAACTTCAGCTCAGTGTGTTTTTTAAGTAAAATAGGTTATTCTGTATAAGATTAGTAGAATTTGAAGGTGGGCTAGAGCTATTTTGATGGCCTAACAGATCAATTTTTTGTCATGTATAGTAAATAGGTGAATGACAGATCAGGCACATTGTATTCATTTTGATGTCGTGTCTTTTTAATCCAATAAATTGCCATATAGTTAGCCATTATGACAGCTGAAGCAAACAATTTGACACTGAAATAATTGAATCAGTGTCCCCACATTCATACTCAATATGTGGAGTGAGAAGACAAGTGGGAGAAGTGGAAAGACAAAGCTCATGTGGCAATTGGATGAAAAAATAAATGCTGCCCTTTTGTTTAATTATAAGAAAAGAAATTGTTTTTATATAAGATTTAAAATATGACATTAGTCTTTGCAATTTCAAAACTAAGAAATCATTATTTTTTAACCTGAGAATAATGGCATTAATTCAGGCATTACATCTTGGCTTGAGATTGTTGACTTCAACATGCAAAATTTTATTTACCCTTATAGTGAAAACAGCTACAACTAAAAATACAATTTAGAAAGGGAAAATACTTGTGATCCCTGTGAAGGTACTATAATGACAGATACTGTGACCAACAAAAATGCAGGATAACTCATATTTTTTCAGTCACTTGATATATATTAACCAGACTTAATGTAACATTCTTAAATCTGGGCACCCATGTTGTTATAAACTTACTTTGCTTTCAAAGAAATACAGTTCAATTAGGAATTTCTGTATCTATTTAAATCTCCAGAATAAACATCTGATGGGGATGGAAATACCTAGTTCATACTCATTCTTCTTAAAAGCTCCATGATTGTTTCTAATTCTTGGTATCGCTAAGCCTCTGGAATCTTTTGCTGTCTTATCCCAGAGAACAATTTTTCCATATTATATTCTCCGGCTAGATGCATTATTGACACATCTCATTCTTTCCATGAACCGTCTTCTGAGTTGCTTCCTCCGAATTATTTTTGTAAGATTTCAACCTCCCACCCCTTTCTGGCTCTCATTCTTTCTACCCTTCTCCCTTTCCTTCTGCCTCTATGAGTGGGTTGTTCTTTGCCCATTATTTTAATTCTGCCAGGGAAAACCACAGAAATCCTTACTTTCTGGTAAGTGGCAAAAAAGTGAGAGGAGATGGGTGTGACTAAGTAGGGAAGGCTGCTCTAACTTACTGAAAGGGAGGGCAAAATTGGAGTTTCAGTTTGTTAATACTTTTATCTCCTTCATTTCGGCTTATAGTATGTTTTCCCCTCTGCCCCTTAGACAATCACAGCATCGGTAATAGCAGGATGCTTACACAGAATAATTCAGACCTTCTGACCTTCTGACCTCTGATTATATTTGATTAGGTATGAGTTTACCTGGTAAAATTCATATGTGATCTCCAAGTTCCTACCTTCTAAACTAGTTCCAAAACATAGGGTCTGGCCTATGCAAATGCAATAAATAAGCTAATAATTATTTATTGAGTAGCTATTATGAATTATATACTCTGCTTGAAAGTGAAACATAAATCAGGATCCTACAGTTGTTGTGTAGGGCCAGAGGCAAGGATTTGTAGTCAGATGACCTGAGTTTGAGATCCAGTTAGCACTTACTAGCTCTTAACTTGGAGAAAAACACTTAATCTCACTAAATCCTATTTTCCTCTTTTGTAAAATAAAAACAACAAAACTGTCTATAACATGAGATTCTTGAGAGATTTAAAGAAGATAATCTATTCAAACTGATTTTTTAATAAATAGTAGACTACTAAGCAAACACAAAGAAATGTAGCAGCGATCTTCTGGGTCAGATGACCTGAATTTGGGTATGAGCTGGATGTAGATAAAGAATTGCCTTGAAGAAGCCCAAGTCCCTAAAGAATAAGGAACACACACACACACACACACACACACACACATATACACACATCTGTTTCCTCTAGAGTAGGGGTCCCAACGCACCAGTCTGCGGCCTGTTAGGAACTGGGCTGCATAGCAGGAGGTGAGTGGCTGTCGGGTAAGCATTGTTACCTGAGCTCTGCCTCCTGTCAGATAAGCAGTGGCATTAGATTCTCACAGGAGCCTGAACCCTATTGTGAACTGCACATGCGAGGGATCTAGCTTGTGGGCTCCTTATGAGAATTTAACTGATGCCTGGTGATCTGAGGTGGAATAGTTTCATCCTGAAACCACCCCCCAGTCCCCCACCTCCCCCCCGCACACACACACCACGAAACCAGTCCCTGGTGCCAAAACGTTGGGGATCGCTGCTCTAGAGGTAGCAGGAGTTTGTCAAGGTTTCCTGACTGAGTTTCTAGGAATAAGATATGAAGTGTGAGGAAGATTTCAGCTGCTAGTAGAAGTTACAAGTACTAGACTTGGGGACCACCAAAGGAAGCTTTTCTCCACTTACAATTCTGGTATTAGGAAAAAAAAGTGGCAACACCAATAACCCAGTTATTGGCTGTCACTCTGTGATGCCACAGAAAGTTAATATTCGAGGGGTAGCTTTGTGCCCAGAACTTGAAAATGTAAGGTGACTAAAGTAACAGCATCACTGAAAGAAAGAAAAACTGACTAGAAGCAGCAAGCTTTATATCAGCTACCTAAGAAGGAAGGGACTCGAGGAAGAGTTCCAAAATTACTCTGATGAGGCTCAGGTCCATAAAGTCAGTTTTATGGTTGGTGTTCTGACTGCTATTCTTTGAATTGACCCCTTTGGTTATAGAAAGCACCTGATACTTAAACATACAAAAATTCTAAGTTGACGTACAACTTTCTTTATAGGATGTTTAATATGATTGAGATGAAAGAGCATTCCAGTGTATTTTTCCCACTTTCAAGAATCCTGATTGAATTCAATTTTGGCAGAGTAATTAATAGAATAATTTGTGCTCTATTCTTACTGATATACTTATTTCCCTTCACATAATCCTGCAAAAACTGTCTAGTCCTTGTCTTTCTGTGCTTTAGACGTTGTCATATTTCCAGGGATCCAAAGATCCAGTACTTTGGTTTGGAAAAACTCAGACTCTTAGAAATGATGGGGCTATATTTATCAATAGGGAGAAGGCCCACCCCCCACCCCCAAGGATTAGGAGGGCCAATTGGAGAAGTAAGAGAGGTTTAGAAAGATTTAGTTTTTAGGAGATAGCAGAAGGAAGGAACTAGGGTCCTGCCAGTTCTGCAGATGAAAGGACCAGGGCTTTGGTACCATGCAACATCATAGAGAGATGGCTAGACCTCAGATGGAAGCATTTATGGTAATACCTAGAGAGGGTGGACGTTATGACTTGAGTCTTCAATTTAGAACAGTGGAGCCACCTGAGACCCTGCTGTCTCAGACAATGAGTCTATTAGGGTAGCCAATATGGACTGAAGATGAGACGATGCCCCACAGAACAACCTGGAATGTGTAGGACCCTAGAATTCTTATATGACCTAAGGAGTAGATTCTCAAATTATTTCTAACGTCATTTTTAGAAACATTTTCTCTCCATTCAATTAAGAAGGGACTTGAAGCAGTTTTATCTGCTTTAGAAAAATAAAAATTTTTAAATATGATGATTCTTAAATTCCACACATTTAGAAGAGAATTTACATTTACTATGTCATGAAGCGTTTCAATAGTGACTCCATAATGGACACTGACTTATATTTTTAGATACCTCAGTAAGATAGGTGTTATTCTAATCATGTTACAGATACGGAGAATTAAACTCAAAGAGATGTCATTTGTCTTGCTCCATGTTTTATAACTCATAAATTATGAAGTCTTAATTTAAACTCCAGTCTCAAGCTACAAACTCAAGTTTCTGTTATTAACTGTGCTGCTGTTAGAAATGGGCCAAAAGAGAAGCTCTTCATTCATTCACTCAACATATTTACTGGGGACCCGCTATGGGTCAGGCACTCTTTCTGAAGCCGAGGAAACAGAAGCAGATAAAACTGGCCCTCATGCATCTTATATTTTAGTAGTGATGTGGGGAGAAGGAGACATTAACAAAAGATAAGTATATGTCATCTGTTAATAAGTGATAGGAATAAAAATAAAGCAGTGGAAAGGGGGTGGAAGGTGATAAGGTGCTATTTTATAAATGATTATCAGGAAACATACCTTTGATGAAACAACATTTGAACAAAAATGCGAAGTCAATTGTTGGAGGGAACCCTGCCGATAAAGGAGGAGAAGTTTTCTGGGCAGAAGAAACCAGAAGTACAGAGGTCCTGATAGCAGGTGTTGGCTGTGTTGGAAGAATAGAAAGGAACCAGAGAGACTGAAGAGGAGGCAGAGGAGCATAGAGGGTAGCTGGTAAGGCAGAGGTGTGGTGGCAGATCAAATCAGATGAGGCCTCCCAGGGGTAGTGACGGTCTGGGATAAACCTGGAAACCAGCTCCTCTGACTTGACTGGTAGGCTTAAGAAACTACAAAGGTTGCAATGTACTTTTGTATTTACTTTGTAGGTATCATTTGTGAGTCATATTTTCTGCTAAAAAGCCAAGTAAGATGACTTACAATAATTTTTTTTTGTTTTCATACAAAATCACATTAATGGTCATTCCAACCCAGTATTTGCTCCCTATGAGGGGCAACATCTTGCAGAGAGCACAATTTTCATTCATGATAACTAAGCTCAAGTGACCGGGGATGAATAGTAGACTGTTGAAATATGACTTTCAATAATATAAAGCCGGGAGCAGATGATTTGGCCTTTCCATTTGAAACTTGAAAATCCTGTGATTTCCAAAACTAAATTTTATTTTGTTCTGTTAGTGATTGTCCTTAAATTTTGCCCATGCCTCAATTCACTATGCTTTATGAGGGCAGAGTAAATGTTCCAATGGGGTGAAAAAGATTTAAATAATATTTCATTCTGGTAGTTTGGTCACATATTGTTAATTAGGAAAACGACAAATAGAAAAGTTAATTTCAATTTTACATGACCTGCTGTGTGTGTCAGCTTCCAGTTCATCCAACTTGTGTCTTTTACTTCTCCAACAGATCAGATACTCCATGTGGGGGTGCCATCTGAGTAGAAATTAAATGATCTATTCTCCCACAAGTGCCTAAGGAATTGCAGAGGCAACTTTCATTAACCTTGATGGATCTTAGACATATAAAGCCCTTGAATGTCAATGGGAGACTGGACTCCGTTGAGCTTCTCCTACTTTCTTTAATAGTGCATATTTAACCAAAGAATGACAATAAAACATTTATCATCAGAGATTTAAACAGTAGTATTTTAAAGCTTTGAATGGGATCAACAAATGAGTCATTAAAAAGTGTCAAAAATGGATGAAGCTGGAAGCCATCATTTTCAGAAAACTAACACAGGAACAGAAAACCAAACACCACATATTCTCACTCATAAGTGGGAGCTGAACAATGAGAACACATGGACACAGGGAGGGGAACATCATACACCAGGGCCTGTTGGGGGTTGCGGGCAATGGGAGGGAGAGCATTAGCACAAATACCTAATGCATGCAGGGCTTAAAACCTAGATGATGGGTTGATAGGTGCAGCAAACCACCATGGCACATGTATACCTGTGTAACAAACCTGCACGTTCTGCACATGTATCCCAGAACTTAAAGTAAAATAAAATAAAAAATAAAGTGTCAAAGATGATTGCTACAGACATCTTAAAAAATACTAGTTGTTTAAAAAAAAATCTCAACATAGAAAATAGTACTGTCATCCCTTCTTCCATTTACAAGTATTAAGGTAAATTCCTTTAGAGAAATAAATTATTTGTGCCAACATTTGTCACATGCATAATACGAGTATAGCCGTCAAATTTTGTTTTCCAACACACCATCACTGTGTGTCTGCAAGTAGCCACAAGGCTTTGTATTTCACGTCATTTTTGAGCTCTCTCTGCATGGACCTCTTAGAAGTCTTAAAACTATGCTCATTTCAGCACCAATAAGGAGAATACTAAATATATTAAGAGAAAGGACAGTGCCTCTTGCTCTTTCACTCACTCATCCCCTCATTCACTCTCTCATCAAGCACAATAGCTCATTGACCCTATTGATAGGAATGGCCACTGAGGATTGCTGAATTTTGCAAATTAGCTTGTGTCCCCCATGAGCTATACAGCAATTTACACTTAATAGAAATTATAAAGAAGTTTTGCACCAAAATGTATCAGAGTGGCAATGGGTTAATAGGAAATGTGAACTTTGATTTCACAGAGGAGGAGGCTGAAAGCCTCACTCCAACAGGAAGGGATTCATGAGGGACTGTAGGGAATGCAGCGAGGGAATTCTGGAAAGAAGTGAGCAAAGAGGAAAGCCTCTAAAGTGGTCAAAGGCAGCACTGACATCATCACCCAAGCAGTGATTTTAGTTCTGAGCAGGTGAATATTTTTAAAAAATCCAAATCAGTCAATTTAATTGCTGATGGGTTTGTCCTCTCTGGTGGTGAGAAGAAAAATCAGACAAAAAAGTCAGCTGATGCCAGTTCTTCCCGCAGAGTGTTGTGGTTTATAAATGCAACATCTGTATGTGAATGTGTATCAGTGTGTGTGTGCACATATGCTTGTGTGGCTAGGTGAGAGAGGAGGAAAGGAGGCAAAAAGAGGTCCTTACCACATAGCAAACCTGATAATGACATAGGGGATTTCAGTTTTTCTGAAGTTCATAGTCTTAACTCTAACTTAGTGATCCTTGCTCAGAAAGCAAAAGTTAGATATCCAAGAAAATTAAATTGTCTTAAGATTATGATGTCTTATTTTTGAAATGGCATTTCTGTGTGTAAGTGTTATATCATTGGTAGTTGGCAGGATTCTTTTAAACACAGATCCCGACACACACAGACCTACAAATGCATGGAAGGTTATTGGGCCTATTCCACCCATTTTTTATATTAGCAGTGGGAAATATTCAGAGACCAAGGATTTTCAAAAAACATGGCGATTTCTCCTAGGGCTATTCACATTTCTTTTCCTTCTCATTTCCTTGTAGCTATAAGGAGGAAGGGTTAATCCACTGAGAAGCAAAGATGATAGCTGAAACACTTGGCTGCTTAATCATTTGTTCTTCCAGGATCCTAAAAGAACAATAAGAAGTCTTGGCAATTGCTTCCAATTACAGTCCTTTTAAAATAAACTGGTATCAATAATGGTTTTTTATACCAACAAAGATATAACTATTAATAACTAATTATAAGTAAGGTTTGTTAAACCAGTGCTGATTTATTCAAAATGATATGTAATTCAAAGTCACTGGTAGTCTTTAACTGATTAGATGTTATGCATTCTTTAACAAAACACTGGGAAGAATTTAACCTCAAGTCAATTAATTAATGTTATTGAATTCTGGTTTGTTGCTTGATGAATTAATAAGAGTTTGCTGTAATCAGCCATAGCATCAACTTTGGACTCACAAGGATGCCAGATATGCAATCTGGTGACCTTGAATAGGTGACACGTTTCTATCAACTCTCCTCTGCCACCCATCTTCTCCTTCTACTCAATTTCACTTTTGCCTGACAAAAAGACTAGAGCAGCTTGCTGGAGATGCAGCATGGTTCAGCTGGTGGATAAGAGCACAGACATTGGAGCCGAACTGTCTGGAGTTGCAATCCCAGCCCAACTACTTTCTAGCTAGGAGAACTTAAGCAAGTTAGTTAATTGTTCAGTGCTGCAGTACGCTCACCTATAAAATGGAGATGTTAATAATGATTCATGACTCATAGGGTTGTTTTGAAGATTAAATAAGTTCGTAGTTATAAGGTAATCAGAGAGGTACCTGGCATATAGAAAACTCCATAGTAGTACTTATAATAAATAAATATTCTCAGCAAACACTATGAGCAGGAAATTATAATTAACTTGGATGACCATAACCATCTCTTTATCAAGGAACAGCAGTAGTCAGAAAGGAGAAACTTCAAGTTTTGTTGCTCTCACTTTCTTCCACTCAATTCCTATCTCACTTTAGCCCAAATTCATTGAGACTCAGTTATGCTCAAGGAGGGCTCTTTTCCTGGCCTTTCTCCAATCAAGAAAAAAAAAAAAGCTTTTGTTGATCTTAACTAATTATCTCTCCTATTAACACTGGAATTGCAATTTCAGAAGATTTGTATAGACAAATGTCTTATATAGTCTCAACTGAAAAACCACTTATGCCCAAACTTCCATATTCTCTAACAATAAGTAAGTTCCATGTATGTCTGACCAGTCTCAACAAGGAATCGAGCTCCTTGAGGCCATAGGCAGTTATCTATTTCTTTAAAATGAAGCAACATGAAGAAAACATAAATAAATGGAAAGATAGCCTGTGTTCATGGATTGGAAAAATTAATATTATGAAAATGTCTATATTATTAAAGTGATCTACAGATTCAATGCAATCTCTATCAAAATTCTAATGTGATTTTTTTACAGACACAGAAAAAAGCAATGGTTAAATTTGCGTGTAATCACAAAAGACCCCAAATAGTCAAAACAATCTTGAGCAAAAAGAACAAAGCTGAGGGTGTCATACATCCTGATTTCAAAACATATTATAAAGTGATTTTAATCAAAACAGCATGTTACTAGAATATAAACAGACATAGACCAATAGAATAGGATAGAAAACCCATAAATAAACCCATGCATTAATAGTAAACAGATTTTTGACAAAAGTGCCAAAAACACACAATGGGCAAAGGACAGTCTTTTCAGTAAATAGTGTTGGGAAGCGGGATATCCACATGCAGAGGAATGAAAGTAAACCCTTACCTTACACCATATTCAAAAATCAACTCAAAATGGACTAAAAACCTGAAACTGTAAAACTACTAAGAAAATATAGGAGAAAAGCTTCACAACGTTGGGTTAGGCCATTATTTTTTAGATATAACCTTTTCTTAAAATCTGTTTCATTG
Organism: Homo sapiens; assembly: GCF_000001405.40. Lineage (NCBI taxonomy): Eukaryota > Metazoa > Chordata > Mammalia > Primates > Hominidae > Homo > Homo sapiens. The sequence goes on along the minus strand of NC_000005.10, from coordinate 87,758,347 downwards.
ACAAAAATAAAAATTATATATATTTATGATGTACACCATATTTTGATATGATGGAATGGCTGAATCAAATACTTTATATATTTGTTACCTCATATACTTAACTCATTTTTTTTTGATGGTGAGAACACTTAACATCTGCTCTTATCAATATGTTGTATCTTTTCAAATATCATATATATTTTTTAATTTTTTGGGTACATAGTATATGTATATATTTATGGGTTGCACAAGCTATTTTGATGCAAGCATGTAATGCATAATAATCATATCAGGGTAAATGGGATATCCATCACCTCATGCATTTCTCCTATGTGTTATAAATGATTCAATTATACTCTTCTTTTTAAATGTACAATTAAATTATTTTTGACTAGAGTCACCCATTGTGCTAGCAAATACTAAGTCTTATTCATTCTTTCATTATTTTTTGTGGCCTATTCTAACTATTTTTGTGTCACAAGCAACAAAAGCACAAATAGATAAATGGGATAACTTCAGACAAAAAGTTTCTGCACAGCAAAGGAAATAGCCAACAGAGTAAAGACACAACCCACAGAATGGGAGGGAATATTTGCAAACCATATACCTAATAAGGGGTCTATATCCAAAATATATAAGAAACTCAAACAACTCAATAGTAAGAAAACAATCCAGTTAAAACTCGACAAAGGTCCTGAACAGACATTTCTCAAAAGAAGACACACAAATGGTCAATAGATACATTTTAAAATGCTCAGTATCACTCACTAATTAGGGAAATATAAATTAAAACCATGATAAGATAACCTTACTCCTGTTAGGATGGCTTTTATTTAAAAGATGAAGTATAAGCATTAGAGAGGATGCAGAGAAAAGGCAATCCTTATACATTGTTGGTAGGAATGTAAATTAAGTTCCTCAGAAAACTTAAAGTAGAACTACCATACAACCCGGTGATTCCACTTGTAGGTATATATCCACAGGAACAGAAATCAATATATTGAAGAAATAACTGCACTCTCATGTTCATTGCAGCATTATTCACAATAGTCCAGATATGGTAACAACCTAAGTGTTCATCAGTAGAAGAATGGATAAAGAAAATGTGTATACACACGATGGAATACTATTCAACCTTTAAGAATGGGGAGTTTTGTCATTTGTGATAACATGGATGAATTTGGAGGACATTATGATAAGTAAACAAGCCAGGCACAGAAAGACAAATACCAGATGATGTCACTTATATGTGGAATCTGATAAAGTGCAACTCATAAAAGTAGAGAGTAGAATGATGGCTTCCAGAGACTGGGGGAAAAGAAAAAGGAGAGAGGGAATGGTAAATTGTTGATCAAAGGGTACAAAGCTTAGATAGACCAGGGGAATAGGTTTTGAAAGACATTGCACAGCAGGGTGACTATAGTCAAAAATAATGTATTATATATTCCAAAATAACTTAGAGAGTAGATTTTAAATTTCTCACCTTAAAAAATGATAGGTAAGTGGGCTGGGCGTGCTTACACCTGTAATCCCAGCACTTTGGGAGGCTGAGGCGGGTGGATCATGAGGTTATGAGTTCAAGACCAGCCTGGCCAAGATGGTGAAACCCTGTCTCTACTAAAAAAGTTACAAAAATTATCCGGGCACGGCACGGTGGCAGGCGCCTGTAATCCCAGCTACTCAGGAGGCTGAGGCAGGAGAATCGCTTGAATCAGGGGGCGGAGGTTGCAGTGACCCGAGGTCACGCCACTGCACTCCAGCCTCGGTGACAAGAGTGAGACTCCGTCTCAAAAAACAAACAAACAAACAAACAAACAAACAAAAAGTGATAGGTAAGTGATGTGATGGATATGATAGTTTAATTTCATCATGCCACATTGAATACATATATCAAAACATCACCTTGTACCCCATAAATATATATAATTATGATTTGTCAATCAAAAAATATTAATAATAAATAAAAATAAAGTAAAATAAATAAATCTACTCGAAGCAATGAAATAATAAATATGAAGCATAATGGATGCTCTGTTTTCTCATAAAAGAATAATGGTCTTCCTCCGAAAGCTTTTTCCTATAGAACTAACTTTACTTCCTCATACTGATAACAGCTGAGGATGAGGAACATAGGCTACAATGCTGAACCTCTTTTCCACATAAAATCCAAGTTCAGTCATATTTTTTAATCTGTTTAAATTCAATGTAGTAAAATTACCCTGTAATTTCTTATTATAGATAAAAGTATATCTGAGATATAATTTAATATCTCACAAATCAAATATGATATAAATAGAGCTTTAGGAAGAAATGGATCCATAGAAGCATATCAAAACACTTGTGTTAATAGCCAAAAAATGTTCTCAGTGAAAAACCACTTATAGTATAACTAATTTTTCATATTTTAAGGAAATATAGTATTAATACTGCCACAAATATTCTATCATTTCCAAAAAATTTTTAAATAAATATGCTGGAATTCATGATAGAATGAAAGCTTATGAAACAGAGGTATTTTCCTGTTTTCCTAAAAATATCCAGTAAGAGAAAAATGTATACAGATAATTTTTCACTTTTAAATTTTAATTTTTCAGAATTTTCTATTTATTAAAAGTGGTTGGTTTTGCTTTTGTTTTAAATGAAAGCAGCTTTAATTATCTGACTCTCATTGACTGCTAATGACATACTAATGTAAATCTCAGGGAATAATCGAGGAGAAGGCAACAACATGGAATGCTTCTAGATGGCTTGTTTTCTCAGCTCCTCCGAGCGTTAGTGGGCAGGAGAACCTGCTCTTTGTAAGAGGAAAAGACGGCAATCGCACCCCTGATGGGGATTAAAGAATCCTCCCTGTGTCTTTCAGCATAAGAAAAGGAAAGTTTTTGGCACATTAAGAGTGTGTCTCTACCAATGATTGAGTCATTTTTGTGTGCCAGGATACTGTCAAATGTTTGACACATGTCATCCCACTGGATCTTTACAACCATTATTTCTATTTTACAAAAGAGGAAACTGAGCCTTGGTGCAGTTAAATAATTTGCTCAAGGTCACACGATGGTAGAACTGAGATGGAAACCAGGTGTGCATAACTCTAAAGACATCTGAATCACTAAACTGCCTCTCTTTAAGCAGTCATATAAAGTACACACATTTACGGAACAGCTGAGATGATCAAATTGAACCTTCAAATTCTACATCTCCTCTACATGCTAAAACTAAGCCTTTTATTAATATATATTGAAAATGATTAAAACATAAAATTTGCATTGTACTTTTTATAATACTAGTGATTTCCAGGCTATAAAAGAAAATAAATGATAATAATAACACCTCCAACACCACCTCGAAGGATAATTTCTACTGCCATTTACTAGGCATTTATTTTAGGTACTTTGCTAAGCACTTTACATATATTATTTCATTTTTTAAAATAAGAACTAGCCACAAATTATACAATCTAAAACTCAAATTAAATTGAAACATGTATACATTTTTTCAGAAGTGGAAAATAAAGATACAATTTTCTATTTCCTTGATTTCATTTTCTTTACTTCTAGAGGGCAGATTTTCTATTGTCCAAAGTCTGGTTCTTACAGATCTGAGTGATTAACCCATATCTAGATCTCAAAGAACATGCAAAAGGTACTGAAATCAGTCAGTGAGGGCTTAGCAAGGTAAGACAAACCAAAGACCCAACTGAGAAGTAATTTAAATCAAATTTACTCCTCATTTTTTTCACCTACTCGTGCCAGGTGGTAGACGCTAAATTTAGTGCTTCTCTCAACACTCAGGTAAGTTAGCAGACCAGCATACTGTCACCCTGGGCTAACAGGGAGAATAATTCTGCCATCCCCACCGGTACAACATTAAAGGAAATGAATCTCATTCTGTTCTTTTTTGGGAAGTAATTTATCAGATGATTTATTTACAGTGCAGACTGCATGACAAGTAAACAAATATGTTATTTTTGCCCACTGTAGTTGGGTTTTAAACATGAGAAAGAGACAGAGTAAGTGTCTTTCTAGGGTATGTGAGTAGCTCTGACAACAGCTTTGAAAAATAAAGGAACTCCATTACAAGGCGTTTAGCAAGAACTGATTTACATACTAGAGTAGATCTTTCATGAATTCTGCCAACGTAGAGAGGGAAGGGGAGGAAAAAAAGGCTCCAATTGCATGCTACCACTGTGCATGTTGATGAATCCCCCAGCACATGTTAATTAATGCCCCTATTGTGTTTGGCAGACTACCAGGGACTGTGATTGTACACGAACTGATCCTTTAAATGGAGAGTGGCTTACTCTATATTGAAAAGAAAGAGATTTGTATTTGTATAAGCCACAACTATTCCTTAGGAATAAGTGTTTTGCTTTTAGTGCAATTAAGAGAGACGAACTGCCATCTATCACAATATTTTATCATTACACTTAAAAAAAATCCTCAACCCCAGTAAAGCAAGTACAAAATCACAGAAATGTCATTGTTTTTAAGGAAAAATATCATTGCTCCCATTGCCCTATCTAAATCAGTGCCCAGATTTCACTCATAAATGATGACAATTAATACTGTTATCTATTATACCATCTTGTGTTCTGGCTGAAGCATAAGATTGTATTCAAGCAATTAAAAAGAAATCTTCATAATAAACACATGGCGATCTTGAAAAAAATTAAATAAATAACGTCATCCTGATAACAGAGGTGAACAGAACAGGGGAAAAAGCCAGGAAGATGCAAATTGCCCTGCCTTAAAGCTTACAAAAATATTATGTCCAGATAGAATTTTAATTTTAATCATAGAGAAAAAGAGGACTGACTACTTTCTCAGCTCTTATTTCTTATTTGTTTTAATTTGCTTTTTATTACTTACACTGCAAAGAGCTGATAAATATTGGGTACATTAAAGCATGAATGGCCTAGAAAAATAAATTGCCTTATATTATTGCTCCTTGTGAATAAAATTGACATATCTCAGAAGCTGCTGCAGTAGTATCCAAAATGGCGTTCCAGCCAAATTGATTAATTATCTTCCACCATTCTAAATAATAATAAAATTCACTTCTGGCTTACTAAAGAACACAACCCTTTCCTCATCTACATTGCTTTAGTTGAAATAGGCTTTATTTGTATTTTTTAATGGCTTCAGTCATTTGGGCTGCCTTGTAGGTAGAACTCCCTCCAGATTTTCCCCAGCATATGTAAGCTTTACTTAAACCAGTGATTCTCAAAGTGGGGACCACTTAAACCAGAAGCACATGGGGGTGCTTGTTTAAAATACAGGTTCTGAGACTCCATGTGCTCAGAAGCTCTGATTCAGTAGAAGTCCAGGAATGTGCATTTTTAACAAGGACCTAGGTGATGCTGATCACTTAATCTATTCCATATGCACTTCTTTGTGATTCAGTTGCTTTTTAAAAAAATTCACCAGCTCTTCTTTTTACTTAAATGATTGATTTCACTGGATAATGAGTAGCTCTTTAAGAGTGTGGTATCACATACTTAGATGGCCAGGTCTGTTCTCCCTCTGGTCTGAGAATACTGGGACCCAACACTTCAATGACCTTTAATTCAAAGTGCCAGGATTGTAAGCCCTCTTTGCCAGTGGAAAAGTACTGCAGGGCTGTGGGGACGTGAAGTTCCAAGAATAGGGTAGAGATCATCACAGAGTGACCACGGAGAGCTTCTGTGAGCCCTTCAACCTTTGGGAAACTTCTTCCTGGGACACACTCTGCTAATCTTACTAATTCTTAAGTCATGTTTTTAACCAGTCTCGGTATGCAATGAACTCTTGTTTAGCTTAGTTTAGTATGAAACCAATTTTATAACCAGATATGTGTTGAGTCATTGACTCCTTTTGCAATATAGATTCCTCTTGGGTCTATGAATGAATAATAGCAGCAATCTGTTGAATGTTTACTATGTGCCAAGCTAAGAGCTAAATGCTCTGCATACATTACATTATATATCCTTTCGGCAATAACCCTCTGAGATAGGTGTTACAATTCTCTATCTTATAGACGAGGAACTGAGGTTTTGAGAGGATAATTAGTTTATCTGTGGTTCCTGGTGGTAGACATAGAATTCTGCCCAAGTTGGTCTGACTCTGTGCTCTTAACCAGGAGGCAATCCGGCCTCTAAAGTGAGTTTCTCTTTCCTGTATAACTAGGCAGTCTTTGTGCCTCATGTCTTTGAAATAAAGTCTGGGCTCTATATGAGCATTTGCTTCCTTTGGGAGTGCTTTTAGTATATTATAAGTTCTTTGAGATGAGAACAAACGGATTGAGCTCCACCTCTGGGTTTCCTTGCCAGCACTGTCAGAACCAAAGTACAATAGTGACATGCTCAGGCTAAGAAAGCGAGGTCCTGCCGGTCTATTTTAGGACTCAGAGCTCTGACAGAGAGCTTACTGTTACATTATCGCACAACATGATTACAATAGATGAAGTCACTTTCAAGGGAAGCCAGAGCCTATACCCCACCAGTACTTTGTTTAATGAGCCCAAGACAAAAATAACAGCATCTAATGGGCAGGGAGGCTAAAAGAATGGCACAAAACAGTCTTTACAGAGCGCAACTCTGAAATACAATGTAAGTCAAAGGCAAACAGCGAGTTGATTTCTAAAATCTCACTTTGCCCCAAATAATTATTGCTTTACATAGACGGTTTTCTTTTTTGAGTGAATCCTAAAGTTCTACAAAGAAGAATGACCATTTCTCATACTTTCCCATTCCCTGCACTCTTGCTTGTGCCATTACTCTCATTTGGAATCCGCCCTAACTACAGACATCTCCTTTCCAAAACTCTGCCTGGCCAATGGCAAATGATTTCTTTTAGGATGAAAGACAGTGTGACTGTGAAAGTGTGCTCTTGCTCTTTTAAAAGGAAATCTATGCAAGGAAATTTAGTGCTGAAAATAGGTTCTGGTACCTGAGTCCACAACAAATCTTGGTGTCTTATATGCTTCCTCTAGCTTTCAACCTGGCTTTGGTTCATAACTCTGATTCTGAAATTCATTCCTTTCAGTTCCTGCAACTTCTCATCCTCATAAGCAGGTATTGGAACCTGGCTTTGCCCCTGGATACCACAATTCTTCTCTAGATTGACATTGCTGGATGGCTACTGTCAGTCTGGTATCATCCCTTAAATCTCTAGATTCACTTTCATTATCCTTCAACCTGTAGCTAATGTTCAATTCAAGAACTGTGAATGAATGGTCAACCTCAACCAAAATCTTCCCTGATTATTTAGGGAAGAAGCAATTTCTTCTTCCTCTGCATTTGATCTAAACCTTTTTATGGCATTTATACTGCCAACTATGATTATTTGTATACATCTTGTTTTCTCTTCTGAATTATAAGCTCCTTGGTGCTAGGGACCAGGTATCATCTATTTTTATATTGTCCACAATGTTTTTGAATTAATAAAAATAATAGTAATAATATTAGATAACATTTAGTGAAATGTTGATATGCTTCAGGCACCGTGCTACAAGGTTTTCACACACTACCTTCTTTAGTTTTTACAAGAACACTGTAAAGTAGGTATTATTGTTATTAACATTTAACAGATGAAGACACTGAAGCTTAGAGAGTTTCAGAAATTTGCTGAAATTTACACAGTCAGTATGTGTAGAGCTAGGATTCTAAATCAGGTCTGCCTGACTTCATAGCAGTAACTCTTAATCCTTGCACTGGAGTTTTTAGTGAATTGGTAGAATGAGTAAACACATTTACAAATTAAGGAAGAGTAAATTGTTAAAACATAAAACCATATTGCATGTTTCAAATAAATACATCACACACCCAATATTTTTAAATATTGGAGTTATTTTGAAGGTGGACTTTTTTCTCTGATTCTGTAATATTTAAGGAATTTCTAACATTTAGCATTGATATGTAAAAAAGTTTAAATTAAAGATGAAAACAAAATGAGATTCAGTCAACCAAGTTGGACAGCTAATGAAAACTGTGATGGAAGAAATTTATGGTGCTTTATACATAGTAAACACCCATATTTGTTGAATGAAAAAAAAAGACTGAATTAACAAACCACTCAATCAATGAACAAACATTGAAAATCAGCCTAGATACTAGACACTTGGAATAATTACTGAAAATGCATAGCAACTCATAAAATATTTGGAATTAGATACACTAACAACAGTATGTATCACCACAAGAATGGAAATCCATATGGAAAATGATCCTGTCAACATTTTCATAGAATTAGACCTTATATCAAATCCCAGAGTTAGCTGCTCAAGCATGTAATGTGTTTATAACAGGGATGACCATTTCTACTTAACTATAACATTGCTAGATTAAAAGGAATGTAACATATATGTTTAGTAACTTAACACATAATAGCCACTCAATGAATATTATGTCCCTTCTCCTAGCCCACACCTCCATATTCCATTTATTTAGGGAATATCTTCAACTAATAATATCTTTTTGAGACCACACTTTCTTTAAGGTCTTTGGTTCCCATCCTTTGCATCCAAATGATAGAAATGATATGTGGCTTCCCCAGAAGTCTTCAGTCCTATCAACAAGAGACAAGGAAAAGTATTTGAGGTAATTCCTGTTCTTTCTTCAGAGAGGTCTAAAGGGAACTCTTAAATGAGGGCATTGCCTGTGTCTTTTCTAGGCTTTCCAACTCTCCTCATGGGTAAAGAAGAGATTGTGAGTTACATAAACAAGCAAATTCCTCAGGGCTCTCAACTCTACCCAGAAGTGTCAAGGCCAAATTAATCATTTTGGATTGCAACTATCCACAGCTTCCCCAAACCTTATAGCCTCTGCCAGTAGGGCTCAGAAGGAGGCCTATACACCCAGACTTCCCAATCTCTTAACATCTACTGCTTTGCTACATGCTATGCTTGAATCTACCAGGCCTAACTACATTATGCCTGTTATCCCAGGACCTGCCAGTCATCAAAAGAAGTCCATAATCTCAGGCACCTGTTATATCTGTCACGTGAATTCTCACAGGGCTCTGCACAGTTTTGACCTCTCACTCCTTTCCCATCACTCCCCAATTCATGAACTCCTTCCACTGTGTCTTCTAGAATTCATGGTCTGAAGTCAAAAAATCTCCTAGATCCTTAACCTCTTCTCTGAACATTCTTTTCACCTTTTTACTCTAATGCAAACCCAACTTTCCTTACAATGTCTCTGAGGTAGTGATTGGGTTTTTTGTTGTTGTTGTTATTTGTTTGTTTTTCTCCCACAGTCCTCATACATATGGGCCTGGAGGTTGTGTATGTGTTGTAGTTGTTATCCTTCATTGTCCGTTCAGACCAATCTCTCCGACTTACGAGTTACCACCATGTTGCCAAATCCAATGGTCAATTTTGGTTCTCATCTTACCTACCTAACATTAGCATTTGACACAGTTGGCTCCTCCTCCTTGAAACTTTTCCTTTATTTCACTTCTAGTTCACCACGTTCTCCTGATTTTTCTTCTGTGTCAGTGGCTGTTCCTTCTCAGTCTTCTCTGCTGGTTCCTCCTCCTCTGTCCAACAAACTAAATATTAGAGTTACCCACGGCTCAGTCCTTAGGTCTCTTCTTCTCCTTCCCCATTGCACTTTATTTAAATCCATTAGAACAATCTTTTTTGGTCTCATGGATTTAAATACCACATATATGTTGATGGCTTCCAAATTTACACCTCCAGACTTTCTTGATCTCCAGATTCATGTCATTAACTGCCTACTCAACACTTACAATCAGAGGTATAGTAGAGATATAAAACCCAATATGTCCCAAACTGAACTCTTAATGTCGTTCCATGCCCCAAACCTGCACTCTCTCTCAGTTAATCAAGTTCCAAACCTTGGAGTCATCTTCACTCCTCTCTTTCTCATACCCCACATTCAACCATCAGAAAATTCTTTTGGTTGTGCCATCAAAATGCTCTCAGAAGCATGTTACTTCTCACCACCTCCACTATTACCATCCTGGAGAAAGCCATCTTCCTCTCTGGGATTACTGCAAGCACTTCCTACCTGCCTTCTCTTTCATATTCTTAGCACCGCTATGATCTATTCTTAACAGTAGGCAAAGAAAAAAAAGGTTTTTCAAAATTACAGTCAGAAATCTTGCAATGACTTCCTTTTCTACTCTAAGTAAAAGCCAAAGTCCTTACAAAGGCCTACAGGGCTTTATAAGATCGGGATCACAGTACCTCTGACTCCACCTATCACCATTCTTCCCATAACTTACTCCGCTTCACCCACGCTGTTTATGTGCTCCTATCTTAGGGTGTTCATTTGACCTGCAGTGCTTCCCCGCAGATATCTGAAAGTCCAACTCCCCCACCTCCTTCCAGGCTTTGCTCAAGTGTCACCTTCACAAAAAGACTAACTCTAACCTGACATTCCTAGTTCACTTTGCAATCCTCTCCCCAGCCCCGTACTCCTAAGCCTCTTCATCTGGCTCTACCTTTTTATTACAATTATTCCTTTTAATACCTGGTGACATTTACTTTAATTTTTCTTTTTTAACATCTATTGCTTGTTGCCTCTCTTCCCTGCTGGAATGTGAGCTTCATAAGAGCACAGATTAATTTCTTTCTTTTTCTCTGATTTGTTCTAGGAATCTGGAAAATGTGCATGCCACATGGTATATGCATAACAAATAATTGTTAAATAAATGCCAGATTTGTATAGGGTTTCAGAATGTGTGACTTGCTGTCTTATGTTTTGAAATTATATTTAAAACTATCCTTTGCTACTGGCCAGGCATTTATCATTATTCCCATTATTCAGATTAAGAAGCTGAGTTCAGAGATCATTTTTCCTGACTCCTAAATGAATTGCTTTTGCTACTTCATCCTGGTTACCAGGACAGTGTCCATAAAGATTTTGCTTAACTCATAGCATAGACCAGTGGCCTAAAATATTTACTGAGCACTGACTGCTGTGTGCCAGTGATAGCACACAAACACAAAATATAGCCCAGAGTCTGGCAGACAATATATTTGGACAAGAGGGATAGGCCAGGGTCTTGACTCTCAAAATGTAAATATGCTCTTCCTTTACCAGCAGAGCCACACCGACCATCATGTCAGTTGTTTCTCTTTGTTTCATAAGCCACCTGGCATCCTGCAATTGGTTTGACATGTTCAACTCAGGGTTTTGATCTCAGCATTACTCTGAGATGACACCTCAGAAGGTGACTAATACAATTTTATTAAATTTAGATTTTGGTAATTCGCCAGCACTTACTCACTTGACTAGAGGAACAAGGGTCCTTTGGTACATCTGATCATGAAATTTAAAGACTATGGCTTTTACTGATTGCAATTGAATGTGTTAAGCATATTTTAGGCACAGCTTTATGACTGGTGTTCAGAAATGATCTCATGGCTAGTCAGCAATTCCACCTGAATAGAAATTCTTTCACTGGAAATTTCTGGCTTTGTTTCTCTGAGCTGTGGTCAGAACCCCACCTTTGACTTCCTTCAGAAAAGCATTACTGTTACTTAAGAAGCTTCTGTACCTACTCTCAAGAACCATAGGCCAAATTCTTTATGATCTCCATGTTTACAATAGCTGCTACCCTTGTTCTTGGCCAGTGACGGAATCCTCAGATTCCTCTCAGGCATTAATTTAAGCTTTCTTTGTTTGAGAATTTTTATTTCTGACCAGAAAGAGCATTTGAATTGATTCTAGTAATCAGCAGGGTTGCTCTGAAAGTCTTGAAGATGATTTGCTATAATTACCAGTTCTTGTTGTAAGGAGTGTAAAAGGAACACATGCTTACTGAGTGCTCACTCCCCTATGTGTCACAGCTCTTTTAGTTAGTTAGTGCAGTGAAGCCTCATCATCACCTTGAGAAAACATGCTCAAAGCCATGTCTTAATACAGTTGGAGGTATTAAGACACAGGGAGCTAAAACCACATCCCACAACTACCTCAAAGGCTAGGACTTGGAGCCTATGTTGGAGAATGACCCATGTTCTTTAAAACCTCATATAGCTAAAATGTAGCCACAGAGAACAAAAAAAAAAAAAAAGAAAAAAGAGAACGGAAAATAATGAATAAGACAACCTCACAGATAAGATGAGAGCCTTGCCTGTAAAATGTCAGTTTAATAGAAGTCCCAAGCCAATCAAGCCATCCCATGGAGATTAGACAGAGAGGCCATAGGGACACATCCTGTCAGTCATCTTATGAGTGATTAGCAATCAACCAGATTAGATGTGTAGGAAAATAATTTGATTTGTTTGAAGTTAAAATGAATTAATAAATTGAATGTGGCCATTCAGACAGGAGAAAATTTTGACCACATGCTTTCACTGTCTCAATAAAGAGAATGCTAAATTTGATCGGTATATTTGTCTCAGTCAAACCTCATGAACCAATGGGCTAGAGAAAAAATTCTGATCTTTTTTCTCTACTTCCTTTTTCTCTTTCTTCCTCTCCTCTTCCATCTTCTTTTTCTTTTCCTTTTTACATTGAAGTCCCTACTACAGAGAAGTTGAAAGAATTTGAAATTGATAACCTTGTCCCAGGAGTCTTCGTTTTTCAGGTTCTCAGCTGTGATTATAGAATTTTCATTATTAGGGTCAAAGTTCAGAACATTTCTATCAACGTTCCAATTTTTTTTTCCTTTGAGGAAAACTGAGGAAGTATCTTGGCTATGTCCTTTGAATTATAAAATACACTTTTCAGGACTTCTCTGTGATTGAATTTAATTAAGTTTCCATTTGTTCCTCGTTCATCCTCAACTTCTCAAATAAATTTTCTTCCTGTATTTAGTTTCTATTACTATCTCTTTTTTAAAGCAGGAATATAACTCTAAGCCTCTTGTGCGAATCTGACTCTTTTATTTGTTTGAGAATAAAAATCTGCCCCCTGTGTGTTGAATTTGGTTATCATGGTTTTTATTTGGATTTTAATGTAGTGTGAACAGTTTTTAGTTAAGGCATACATTGTGCTATAAAGTGGAGTCCTAACACTTCTCAATTGTTTCTGACTCCTTCGTACATTTATGATACTTGCCTATGCCCTGAAGGCATTTCAGTCTGCAATGCTTATTTAAACAAAAATCAATACTAATATGATTTTATGATGGTTCAAGATGTCTTTAAGAATATATATATATAGGTTCATCACACAATATATTTCGTTTTACATCTTATGTACTTATTATCAGGTGATGCACCGGCTGCATTCCTGTTCAAATACATTTGAAAAATTCATTGGCATTTTAGCAGCATTTTTTTCTCTAACATGGATATATATTTTGCATGATTTTTGGGATAGAGATTTGTTTTTACAAAGATACGGACTTTTATCTGCCATTGATAGTTTGGTGGTTTCAAATGTAAAATTAATTGCAATCTTCTAAATACTCTTCAAGCTATGATATTTTGGTGCCAGGAGAAACCAGCTATAGCAATATAGGTATTTCTGAGTGACTGTCAATATTTAGGGAACACAGACGTAGTATAAGAGATAATTTGTTAAATAGATTTATTTTGTTTAAACCAGATAATTTAATGAACAATGGCTATATGTTGAGTTGTCAATCAGATTCTCATTTTATTAAAGCTATCCAACTATGAAATGAAGATCCAATCCTAATGGATACCTCAGAGTAAAATAGTATGTACTTGAAATTCACTCACAGTACAAAACAAAAGTGCCAGTTATGTTTTTAGCATATTTTATTGTAGGTTCATTTTGAATAGGAAAAAAATATACTGCACTATCAACTCAAGGGAAATGTTCCTGTGTTTAAATAATTATTACTCTGTTGAGGTTCTTCTAAATTCCTTTCTTTCTGCTCTTCATAAGCCAAATTACTAAGGGGTTGATTTGAATACTAAAAATACAATATTTGTATTTTATTATTTTAAATGTCTTTTCCTATAAAATTCAAGGACCTAGTTTTCAAATACAGATCAATTTGTTTGTCCTTGAAAAATCTACTTTAATTCTAAGTACCACTAATACAGACACCAGAGGGAAAAGGCTCAATATTTACTAGCAAAGTCAGAGAAGAACAAGAACTGTTATAACAAACTATTGAAAACAATTGAGATTATTAAAATCCTTGTAGGAAAGAATATCTGTATGCTGGGTACTAAATTGAAATGTTTTCAATACTAAATTGAAACATTTAGGCTAGAAGGAGAGCTAAAGATCCTTTGGTGCCAGGCACAGTGGTGCTCACCTTAAATCTCAGCTACTGAGGAGGCTGAGGAAGATTGCTTGAGGCCAGGAGTTCAAGATGAGCTTGGGCAACACAGCAAGACCCTTTCTCTAAAAAAAAAAAAAAAAAATCTTTTTTTCAATACTTCATTTTATAAAGGAGCAAACTGTGACTCAACTAGTTGTGGAAGAACTAGAATTATTCAAGTCTCCTAATTATAATAAACCAATTTTTTTTTAACTACTTTTTTACTACTTTTTTTTACTACTGTGAACCTGAAAAAGTCAATCCCTCAAGATGAATCCTGAATGGCTAACTGGGCCTAAATTTAAAATAGAGCCAAACATTTCTCTGAGTTACCAGAACACCTATGCTGCTGTCTAACTTTAGGGTTTTCATACCTGACTGTTCCTGTTCACCTGGCCTGAGCCAACCACTTAGGCTGGCATGCATCAACCAATCAGAACTCAGATGCATTGACCAATCAGAACTCAGTAGCATCAACCAATCAGAACTAAGCAAGTTTGACGTTTTTCATTTGCCTAAGTGAACTTGGGAAATTGGGAACCTGGGCTGGAACTTTCTGTACAGAAGTCAAGCTTTCCTTATTCTCTGGAACATATCTTCATTTTACACTGAAGGCCGCTTTTACACTGAAGGCTGCATCTCCCCGGTTTGCAAAGTGTTCCCTGGAATAAAGTCTCTTTCCTTCAAATTCCTTTTCAGAGAACTTTTGTTCACCTCAGCTGTACCTATATAGGGCATAATACAGTCAGAATGGCAACCATTTATTGGGATGTTATGTGTCTGGCATGGAAAGTGTTACTTGCTTTATTATCTTAACAATCCTGTAAGACAGGTATCAATATCCCTATTTTACTGATAAGTCGATTTTAAATTTCTATTTTGAGACAAAGTGATTTGCCCAAAGTCACCTTACAGAGCCAGCAATCTAATACAAGTCTGTGTGAATTTAAAGTCTCTTCTCTTGCTGCTGAACTAGTCATTTAATTTTTTAAAATCAGAAACAAGTTTATAAAGTTGTGTAGGACATGAATAATATAATATATCAATTGGCTTTCCCCTTTTCAGTTTTACCATTATGTAAATAAAGTTAAATATTTGTATAAAATTTATAACCTGTCGCTATCATGAGATTTTTTTTTTTTTTTATCTAGAAGAAACTTGAGAATAGCTACTCCACCCCATTCATTTATAAATGAATTATTAAGACCAGAAAGGTCAAGGACTTTTCACCAAAGGGATAGTTGTGAAACTAGAATAGAGCTAAAGTTCCAGCTTGAAGTTATCTGTTTTTTTCTACTATTCAGCATTCACCTTTTGAACGCCAAAGTGGAAAGAGGGGAAGAGGAAGGCTGAGAAGAGACTTAAGTACTATTACGAGTGAGCTTGGTGTTGATAAGGTCGATGCCTATACATTTTTGGAAAGACAGTGCTGTTTGAATGTGTTTGACTTTCTAAGGGCCCGGTAACTTTCAAAGTTTTTTATGTGTTTTATGAGGGACAGAATTTGCACTCCATGTTTGGCTAAGAAAGGAGATTCAGTAATTTTTATATTTCATTGTGTCCTGTAAGTAAAATGTGCATTATATTATGAAAAGTGAGAAAGAAGATAATTTTCAGCTAAAGTACTAGTCAGCAGTTAATTTTAATTTTCTTTTCTTCTTTGTAAGGTTTTTTTTAAAAAATTTTTTTTACTTAGAAGAATTGTTTTAGTAAAAAGTAAAACATCTATAGCACATTTAGTAATTTTTTTCCATCTAGTTTAACTTATTTTCCTAGGGAGAATGAGGTGGCTATAAATACCTTTACCACTTGATCTTGTAGCCGTAAATGAGGGCAAAACTCCCCTTGGCACTAACAAGAATTTTGTCTACGAATAGTTACAGAATTGGGTCCATGATGATTATGAAGCAATTTGATTCTTTCCCAAGAGATAGAAAACTCTAGCACAATTTTCAGTTGGAATATACACACTAGCATCTTGTCCATATTCCTAATAAGAACAAGAATGAAGGAAGAAAAAAACCAGGAATTCTTGTAGGCTTTAGCCGGCTTGCTTCAAAAGCCTGTCAGCTAAACAAATAAAGTGAAGTAGCAGTGGGAGGGAGAGCCAGGAAATTAACTGCTGTGGGCTATAGTTAATGAGTGGTCCGATGAAAAAGAAGTTTTGGTCATGGAAGTGTACACATAGAATGAAAAAAATTAACACTATCAAAAAGAGTTAGCCTACACAAATTGGATTCTTATTCAATTCTGAAGTTTATTGCTTTCTTGTGGGATCTGCCTCCAACCAGCTACAGAAGCTTTCCCTTACCCCCGAGCCCCCACCCCCAAACAAGATGAGTGAGATCAATCAAAAGATTGAAACTTTGAAGCATGGTTAGACTGCTGGGTAAAAGCATGCAAAAATATGCCTGAGACTTCATTAAAAAGTGCCTACACAACAACTTGGGTAAAATCCACAGCATCTTGGCATTGCCACCTCATTAGGGGTAAAATGAAGTGGTCATTCCCTGAAAACTGCCCCTGCCATATTCTGACCAATCCCACGAGTGTCTTGCTCAAGCTCTGATTTAAAGCTTAAGCAACCACAAATCCTCTCAACTAAGTCTGTGCAAGGATCCGTTGACTTTATGCAATATGGTCTAAGCAAGGGCAATGTCTCTCTGGTCTCACTTTTTAAAGACAGGATTAATCAGAGATTTCCCACAAATAATTTCTTGCCCTTTTTCAAAAGTTTGAGAACAAAGTAATCAGCAACTTACTTGAAGAAGTAAACTACCCATTTTAAGAAAACACTGCTTTGGATATGACAATGACCAAATTTTGTCGAAATGGGGCATTCTTGAAACATTCTTGAAACAAATGCTTCGGTACCTGATATCCCTGTACTGTATGCCACAGGGAATTAAAAACCAATAAGCTCCTAGGACTGAAGAGGAGCAAGTCTTTCTCTTAAGTATTCTCTCTAATTGTGCAACTTAAAGAGTAGTTCAGGGACCAGCATCACCTAGGAGCTTATTAGAAATGCAGAATTTGGAACTGATCTCAAACCTCCTGAATCAGAATATGCACTTTAACAAGATCCACCAGGTCGTACTTTTGCACATGAAAGTTTGAGAAACACTGCTCTGAGTCAAGGGTTCACAATGGAGTATATCATTGAATACTAATAATAAAAATCCTTATAAATGTCATTCTACCCGAACAACTTACCCTTAAACCCCCTTCCTGTCAATGTGGTTCTAAGTAGCCTAGTGACACAAGAGGCTTCAGAATTATTCTAACTAAAGAGTGCAAATTCTTTGAGACACAGCAGTGGCTGGATTTAACATAAAATGATGTGGGCCAATTATCCCAGCTAAAATCTTGATAGCACCATTACTAACTTTTGTGAACTATTTTATTGTGGAGGTGGAGAAAGTGCTATAAATAAGGTGTTTGAAATCGTTTGTTTTTTAAGAGTAAATCTTTAATGTAATTTACCCTGAAAAGACATAGAGGGGCCTAGACCAGTTTTCTATTGAATCACAGCTACAGTTTATATTAGTAATTTCCAACTAAAACGTCTTACAATCAGAACTAAGCTCTTATTCTCAAGGGCAAATTTGTCACTAAAACCTTGTGATAGTACATGCAGATGAGTCAAATGATATACTGCTGAGGTAAGTTTTAATTAATTCATGGCTATCATTAATGGCTATATTTTAATAATAATTTCTTCTTATATTTATACCCTTGTCATGATTTTATAAAAAACACAAAAATATTAGCCTGGTCTAAATCCCTAAGAGCACAATAATTCCTAAGAATTATCCAGAGTCAAGTTAGATGGGCCACGGGCCTCAGTCAAATATTTATATTAACCTGGATCTTGATTGTCATCCTGAAATTCATCTTTTCAAAAACAAACATACTCCTGGCTTTCTTATTTTTAGTTACTACTACATTATATTTCTGTGACTTATGAATTTTCAAAGTCCAGAATTTTCTAAAATGTTTTTGGGATAAATACAAGTGCTCAGGGACATTAAAGGTCCTATGGTTAATGAAATTTGGGAAATACCAGATTAAATGAAATTATATATGCTGAGATACACTATTACTAACCAATAGCAGGGCTATAAAGTACAATGTTCTTTTATCCTCAAAAGCCACGTGTTAGGTGGACACGGTGGCTCATGCCTATAATCCCAGCACTTTGAGACGCCGAGGCAGGCAGAACACTTGAGGTCAGGAGTTTGAGACCAGCCTGGCCAACATGGTGAAACCCCTCCTCTGCTAAAAATTAGCCAGGCATGGTGGCACATGCCTGTAGTCCCAGCTACTCTGGAGGCTGAGGCTTAAGAATCATTTGAAACTTCGAGCTGGAGGTTGCAGTGAGCTAAGATCACACCACTGCACTCCAACCTGGGCAACAGAGTGAGACTTTGTCGCAAAAAAAGAAAACAAAAAGCAACATGTTTAAAAGCATCTGTGATTTGTGTCCTGAGTTACATACTTTGGGACACCTAATCTAACTTCTAATTGTTTAAATTTTCATTTTTCTGAGTACCATATTATACCACTCACAGTAAAAACAGTAAAATAGCATATTTGTAGTCTGCACTGCACAATTTAGCACATACTTATAAACTCTTTCATGATTCATTGTTGTTTTGTCTATTAATCTTCCCTCCCAACTAAATTGTAAATTTGGGCTGTATGAATCACATCTTATATTTTGATATCTGCTACAGAATTGAGCCCTGTGTTGGATATGGTACGTAATGAAATACTTACAGGTATACTGACCTATGCTAAAATTAAGTTTTTCAAGTTTCCATGAGTAGTCAGTTGTAGTATTTCAGGATTTTATGAGATAGTTTGTTTACTTTAAGTAGAAATTTCTCATTATTTTATAAACTTGGATTCTACATCCAATAAGCCTGTCTTTCTGGACAGTGAATATAAATATTTCTGGCCAATGAATATAAATATATAATCACAAAGCTGCCACTGGGATCTGGATCTTTCCAGGTTATTATTTTTTTTAATCTGTGTTATATCTACTGGATACTATTTCTTCAATTGCAGAAGCAGAAATGCCAGAGAAACTCGAAGTGCAGACACACCATTAATTTGAACATGTTTTGCTATTTATTTCATCATCAATGCATTTCATAATGAGACTCAACAAATGTTTGTGTTCTATGCCGCAGATGATATTGAAATTGTAAGTCTAGAAGCTATCCAATACTTTTATTCATGTATAAGGATGCTGAGGCCCAGGGAAGTGAAGTCAACATCTTTCAGGAATGTTTACAAAGCTTCCTATATTTGTCTTGCTAGTGTATCATTCTTATTATAAGTACTGCTTCCATTATACTTCACTAAAAGAATAACAGCAACCTACTTGTTTTCTGTGAAGTTCAGCTGTCACTTTGCTCCATGTTCACCTACACTGTGGGCACCTACTTGAATCTGACTTTTTCCACAGACATTTCAAAATTAAGATGGAAAAAATACCTTTTTTTGAGCTTGGAAATTTCACTTAGTGTTCCATCTCCTCAGGCATGAGGTGATGAGTAGGGGAGTCTGGAATATTCCTATCCCACCATTTGGGGCCACTAAAAAATTCTCTTGGTGTCAGTTCCTTTTGATCCCCTGACAGTAGATCTTGCAGATATACACACAAGGTCTTCAGATGATAGGAACAGCTCATGCTGAATTTCATGAACTGATTAATTACAACCGCATCATACGCCATATGTATTCAAAAATACGATTTTTTTTAACAGATTGGATTCTAATTGTTTTACCCTGGAATTTACCACCACCCAGTTATAGAATTCAGATTACCATACCAGACACATGTAAGTAATATTTGGAACTGTCTTAGTACCCTAAATGAGTTGCTCGGTGAGAAACAAGAAGAAATTATTTCTTTTCCCACTTAGAATATAAATATCTTTGATTGTGTAAAATATTGGACTTAGGTGGTTTGTCTAATCACTTGCCTAAAGGCAGGAAACTGGACCCAATTGTTTATTAATATTCTTTATTATGTTAATCTACATATCCTTCAACTGAGTCCTTTTTTTAAAATCTTGGCATCCCAAGCAGTAAAAAAAGTCAATCACCCTTTCCCAAAGGATGTGTGTCCATAGAGATAAATTTTATTCTCAAGCATAAAGGTTAAACAAAAGGTAAGAAAGTGAGATTACAAAGTCAAGGAGCTGCCTCAAAACACCAATCAATGTTTTTAGTCCCACCCTGTCCTCATCTGGACACCATTAGGAGAACCACTAAAATTGAATTCAACTGCTATGTATTATGCATGATGCATTGTGTACTGTATTGTTCTATGCCATTCATTTCACCTGAGATGAAGTCAGGCAAAGGAGGCAAATTAAGTCTACCTTCAGAACTCTAGATCACCGACTCTTATAAAAATTGATTTACTATTTTATCTAATGTTTCAAAAACTCATTTCATTAAGTTGTAAATCACATCATTCAGTACTACTACATCAGAAGGTAAAATTAATGATAGAGATAAGGACATTAGAAAAAGCCACAGCATGGCTACATGACAACATGAAAAAAATAAATTGATGAATAGCAGCTTAGGAGCAGTGACATAGGGTTCAGATTTAATTTGAACGGTGAAGGGCATCATCCTATTGAGCAGACTGGATAAGGGTAAGTTCATATTGGCACATGGTTTGATGTCATCATGGGTGACATGGAGCAGTGGTACAGTGAGAAAATAACATGTGGCATTTTGAAGACCAGAAAAATAAAATTTGAGGTTAGCCCTGAATGAAAGTGCTTTTTCTTTGCCAGATAAAGAAACACTATCCAGTAATTCTGAAATCCAAAGTTTTTTTTTTCTTTTCTATTAACTCTTTAGAAGTAGCCTTAAAAGAATACAAAATTGATGGCAAAGATGTGGGGTCATGTTAATTATAGATAGCAGGTAGACAGGTTGTGAGTAAAAATTTAATGTCAGTACAATTTTATCAGAATACAAGAAATGCCATTTGAGATATATGCTATATTAGGAATTTCAGTACCTTTCACATTACCATTGTACTTCCTATGCTTTATTATACTAGTATTTATGCCATCTGAAGAAAGGGGATGGATTTAAATAGAAGACAAAGGGATATTTAATTTTACGTATTGATAAAGAAGCTGAGGTATAAAGGGCATGTCAGCATAGGCAATCCTTTCTACAAGAAATTCTAAGACATCAACAATTAGGTGTTCTCAACAGATTGATCATAATAAATCATTAGCTCTCAAAGCCATATACTGATTACATCCAGTCTGTGTCAGTAATTTTTGCCTTCATATATTTTGGTCATCAACTTGTCCTGTCACTGTCTGCATCAGGAACTGGCTCTATCATGGCCGGGAGAGCACCTGTCCCACCTGAAGCTGCAGTCAAAACACATAAGGAAAGTCAATAACTGCTCCTCATCACAGAGTTTGGAAATCCTGACTTACACGTATTACTGAGTCAAAATGTGCTTGTGAAGATCAGAGTGCGTCACTTTACAAATGAGGAAAGTAAGACAAGAAAGAGAGCCCCTCACTTTTTAGTCATCTCATGACAGATCTAGGAAATGAACTCTAGTTTTCTGTCTCTATTTTAATAAGCCTGATCACAACAAATAAT
This sequence comes from Homo sapiens, assembly GCF_000001405.40. Lineage (NCBI taxonomy): Eukaryota > Metazoa > Chordata > Mammalia > Primates > Hominidae > Homo > Homo sapiens. The sequence continues at coordinate 87,736,514 of NC_000005.10, read as the reverse complement.
CAGTTTGCTTCCTTATTCTCCTTTCAAGGAAGAAATACTGTCTATATTTTGAATGAGTCTAAGAAACAAGGAAAATGTCTATTTTCAGAGGGAGCAAATGAACCTATGATGCAAAGTGTAAAATTTACATTTTCTTTTATGGACATGACTAAAACTAGTATGATAATATATCTTAACAACCTAAAAGTGAGAAAGTAAAATAGTCAACCAAATCCTTAAAATGATACAATATTGAACCAGTTATCAGAGTCTGAAAATGAATCCATCTACATATGCGATAATAAAGGTTTGGAGATCCTAATCCTGAAAATTTACTATGTGAGTCAGGCCTCCTGCCTGATTTGAAATGAACACATTTAAGGCCCAAGTGCATGTGACTGTCTCCTGATTTATGAGTGAGATTGAGGCAAGTGTGCACTTGCCCATGAAAAGTAGACCTCTCCAGAACTCTCCTTCTGACCACTGAAGAATCACACTCACAGCATGAAATAATCAGGTCTCTGCTCATAAAATAACCACATTCATATTTCTTTATTCCTGTAGGACTAAGAATTGATTTCTAATGATGAGCAAGCAATTTTTTCTTTGAATTAGAAATAAGATTTTTAAACCTTTTATTTCTGTGTGTGTTACATACTAGCTTTCGAGGACCATCTGTATTTACAATTATGTGGAGGGCCTCAACGCTATAGCATCTAAATATTTTGTATAAGACAAAGGAACATACTAAAATCTTGCCAGTGTCTGCAAGAGATTTGGGCAAAGGTGAACAAGCCCCAAGCATCACTTGATTTTTCTTCAACATAGTATCTTTTATATCGATTACAAATGGAGGAGTGTACACAAACAGGAAGCACAGGAGTGGAAAAGAAAAATAAAAAATAACATGGGGTGTTAAAGGAAATAAAGAAAACAAAACGCATGAGACAACAAAGTATAAGCAAAAGAGGTGCCCAAACAGGAACATTTACACGTGATGAAATGGTGCATCTACCTTGACCCTGTGCATTATGTTGATTTTCTGTATTAAAATTTGTACTCACTCTTAAACACTTTATAATCATTTTGAATCTCATTGTTCATAAATAGGTCTTATATAATACACTTGTAACTCTGGATAGAATTTAAGGTTCTATTTCATCTTTAAAAACTTAAGAAACAGTGAAATACAGAGATTAAAGCAGTTGCTAACTTACTTTTTTGCAATGAATATTTATTAATGTCCAATATGTACAGCTAAGAGCAAATGAATTTGAAGAATAAGTAAGAGCTCATCACTCTAAGAAGCACTGACAAAAGTAAACTAAGAAATAAGAAAATGAAAATAAAAATGATATGATTACAGCTGATTTTCATCTTGACAAACAGGTCACTGACTAGTTTACCATAGAAAGGATATTAGCAATTGTTGAGTGGTTCCTAGGGAAAAGCTGAGAACAATGATGGGGCTGGGGTTGTGGGGGGTGGATTCTTACAGGACCTGACCCACTGGTACACTTCATGTAAGAAAGATGCAATAGCAAAAATAACCAGTGCTTTTCACGAGTTTTATCAATAAATAATAGATTTTCACCTAAAATGTTAAATAAGGGGAAAATTATGTAATATCAATGCAGACTTTCTTCATTTTGCCCATTAAAAGAACTTTCTTATAAAGTGAGAGAAGAATATTTTGATTATTCTTTCAACTACATATTATTTTAAGTCTCAATCCAGTTGAGATCAGTTGATTGATAATTATTCATCAGATTTTGGCTCTATGCACGGCAAAGTCAAATATTAAGGGCAGAAGACAGGTTATGTTTCAAAAATGATCCTATGTTGTAATTGCACAATTAGTACTGTTTCCAACCCTTTTCTCAGTTTCCAGTGTTAGGGTGGACAGATAATTTACAAAATGCCTTGACGCTCAACATTCCTCCACAGTCTAGAAGGGGTAGAAGGAAACTCACAAGGTCATAAGAACTTGTCCACCAGAATTCAAATCTCGGGAGTATGGCCGAGTGCAAAGCTGCCCATTAGCAGAGATGAAGGTCCTCAGTTCTCGCCCTGCAGGATTGGGCAGCTGAGGCTCTGCTCCTTTAGCCCCAGCTTGCATGATATGTTAGTGAATGAATTCTAAAGATAAAAGACATCCCTGAAAACCTTTTAATAAAAGCAAGGTTTCGGACTAACTGTATGAAAACAAGATAACAAACGGGTGAGCCTTTAGAAAAGGAAAATTAAGTGCCTTCAGCATTTCTGAAAAACAGTATAAATAGCCTGCTTGGGTTTTTACTGTGCTACATGTTGTGATAGAACCAAAAAGGAAATAAAAAAGTGCCTTGTTTTCTCATGGACGAACTGCATTTGCATAGTTCTATGACAGCAATGCAGTGGCTATAGAGGTCAAATACTCAGAGACTAGGCCGTTGGGGCAAGCCACTCCTCCTTCCTTTCATTGTTTGTCTTATCCACAAAAACATACTATGCAATTCTCTTTTCCTAAGTTAGATGATAATTCAGTAGATTTATACATTGTTTATTTTATTTAATAAATCCTCGTATCTAAGGGCTTCCCAAATTAATACTAAATAGAAACTAGTGGCAAAAGTAAATATTTTTCTCCTGAATCTAATCTTTTATTAATCTGCATACATGTTATTCCAAATATATACATGTAGATTGCCACATATATATGTGCATAGAATGTATAAATACATATATATTATACATGAATGATTTATTACAGAAATATCAGTGTTTCTAGATTACACTGCATACTTGATGAGCTGTCATTAGTGCAGAAAGGATACATAGCTTTTCAACAAAAGAAAAGAATGAGGCTGCCAGAGTGTTGCAGTGGTTTGGGTTTTTTTTTTTTTTCCAGCATCCATCCCTGCCAATCTCTGCACTGCCAGTAGGGAAAACCATATCCATGGCAACCAACCGTACCATTCCAACCCACATCAATGACGCCTCCAATCTAAACTGTCAAATATTCTATGCACATCATGTAAAATAGGTCTCTTTCCCCTTATACCTCTGCGCATCTCGTTTCCGTGGCTACATGTTTATGCAAATGAGAGTTGTCCTTTCTCTCTCAGGTTGATTGAACACTGAATTTATTTTGCACCTTGGCAATGCAAAGCCATGCTGTCTTGCCACCTGGTCTACCACATAATTGCAAAAAATTACATTATAATGATAACTGTCCCCAAATTAGCCTGATAACACCATCTACCTGCCTTGTGAGTGAAAGAAACAGTGCAATAAAGAAAGATGTTAAAACAGAGTCGAGATAGGGGAATAATGTTTAATTGGCTCTCCAGAGTCCACTAATTTTCAGAATTGGAAACCTAGTGTTTGATTTGTTCTTTTTAGTCAGCGAGAAGAAAAAATATCCTTCATAAATTCTGAATGACAAATTTGCCCATCCTTTTTTGCATGTGGTTCCAGCATCCCAGGGAATCTAAAGTGTCATTTCCTCTCTGGAAGAAAGGAAGCACAAAACATGCTAGGTATGTACTCTTAATTTTCACTCAGTATCAGTTCTAACTATAAATTTCTCCCAATTCCTGTAGCTTTCTCATTCTTTTTCTCCAACCCTCTCCAAATCTTACATCAATACCTTTCTTTTAAAGTTAAGATGCAGGATTTTTACAGGATGACACGTATTAAAATAAAATAAAGCTGGGACTGTAAAACAAATTACCTTCTCTCCACCCCCAACTCCTTTAATCTATTGCTTTCCACTGGATTATGTCCTATAAATGATTTTGTTGTGCTGGTTAGTTTTGTTTTCAGGAAAATCACATTTTGCAAATAATGAAATAACTAATTGTTTATTTAGTTAATTTTTAATTATGACATATCAATATGATGACTTTAAGGACTATATTCATGTTAATTTTTTTTACAAAAGAGAAAGAAATATGCAGGTAAAAATGTGGCTCATAGTATATTTCCCTAGGGTGTAGGTGACAAAATAAAAGATACTAGGCTCTATTATGATAAATGTTGAGGATATATTTCACTTTTCCCCCTTCTTAAGACCTATTTCCCTGCAACACAAATCCTTCAGTATGTTTTTAAAGGAACCATTTTATATAATTCCATGAGATTTTTGTCTTAGATTGATCTTCTAAACTTTGTTTATACTCTGAGTTATCTTTGAGTAGATTAGGGAAGAGCAAAGCTTACAAAGGTAGCTAAGATCTCTTTTAAATTTAATAGATGGTCTGTAAATGTGTCCTGGCCAAAGATTAAAAATCTGAAATTTCCAAAGAAGGATTCTTAACCATCTTTCCCCCAATCTTCTTCTCCAAACTGTAAATATTTTTTAGGGTTTAGCTGAGAAACCACTTTCTCCCTGACTCAATTCCTATCTAAAAAGATAACAAAGTGATTGTTGTTCCCTTCTTGATCTCTTGTTTATATCAGTGCTGTTTCAGCATTTCATAAGATATCATTTCCTGTTTGTATGACTTGCTCTCTGATAAGATTACAAACCCTGGGGCAAAGTTGGGGAAAAGTAATATTATATCATTCTTTTGTATTTGCTATCCTTAAAGTGAATATTTTGCTCAGTTAAATTGAATGCCAAGTCTTGATTGTTCTTGGATTTTAGGCTGAGACATTTGGACAGAGAGCAGCTAATAAATGTGTCTCAGGTCATGGTAGGAGAAGAGAAACCAACTTTTAGTTAAGTGTTCATTATGTTCAAGAAACCATGTCAAATATTTTACATATGGAACAATAATCTTTTCCTTGTTAAAACTTACTTTTAAATAACAGATTATATTTTTTAAAGCATAATATTTTAAAGAGAGGACATGACATTCATCCTTAGTAATTCTGTTTGATTGTCATATTTCCACCAATAATGTTATTTGCTGAGCACTATTCTTGGCTCTATGGGGAATAACTAAGGAAGCAGAAGACCTAATTTTATAAAGATAGCAACTAAATAGGATGATAAATACATATAAACACAGGCGATAGGAATGATTTAAAACTCAGCATCAATTATGACACTAAATAGCTTGGAAGGCTAAAATATATCATTATTGGAGTTAATTTCTAGGAGAAAAGTATGGATGAAGAGTTTGAATAAGATTTACCTGAAGAGGATAAATATTTAAGGATATGACTTTTTCATTAAGTCAGTTTTGTTTTTTTTTTTAAATCTAAGGTTTGTGCATTTGTACTATCCTCATTTAGTCTCAAGGTTAGAGCTTGGGGTTGGAGCTTTAGGTATCCCCTGCTGAATTTGCCTTATTTGCTATTTAACTTTGCCTATTCGTGTAAAGTAAAATGAAGAAATAAAGCATTCTTTTGTCAAACATAAGGGCTCAAAAAGTTTCTCTGCATTCCACATGTGAAAAAAATAAGGTGTTTATGCACATAACTAGAAATTGCCTTAATTCTCTCATCCACTTATTGTATCTACACAATTTACACTGCCTAGATTCCTCCTATGAGATTTCTCCTTAGAAACATTGCAGAGAAAAATAAACAAACAACAAATAAAATCCCCCAATTCCATCACCTACTTTCTTAAGTAAGAGCACCTACTTTCTTGAGAAGGGATAATACTATATTATCAAATAAATAATAATAAATTCTTATGAGACACTATGTTCCAAACGCTGTTCTAAGTCATTTACATAATTTAAGCCATTTGCTCCTTACAACAGCTTTATAAATTAGATGCAATCATTAACCCTAAGAAATAACAGATGAGAAAACTGAGGCGTAGAGAGGAACCTAAAGTTGTGCAGCTAGAAAGTGGTAGAGCTGGGACTCGAGCCCTAAGAATCTTGCAGTAAAGTCTCCAAAGTGTTAACCTTTTTATTTCTATGTCGTATGACATTTTGAGAAATAATTTTATTCTCAATTATCACAATAAATTTGCATCAGTTAAAAAATTCTTAAAATTGTAATATTTGCAAATTCTGTCTTTATAATTCAAATTCCCTTTTATTTCAGTTTTTCAAAGCATGATATTGAATCCTCTCTTGGGGAGAAAAATCTCTTTCTGAAAGGCTTCAAAATTGGAAACATTATTTTTAATTCCAAAATTAATTGTTAAATGTATGTTGATTATTTCACATCTAGACATCCTTCATTCAGCTAGTCAGTCAGTTAACAAATATTATTGCAGACTTACTAAGTGCCAGGCACTGTTCTTGGCTCTGGAGATTTAGTAGTGAGAAAAAGAAAGCCTATTACTTTATGGCACCCACTTTACAGTAGAAGGAGGGAAGAGAAGAGAAGAAAAGAGAATAGAAAAGAACAGAATAGAATAGGTCATATGGTGAGAAGTGTTATCAAGAAAAATTAAAGCAGATGGGAAAGGGGACTGCTTTTTTTTATTATACCAGTAAAGGTCTTTTTTTGATAAAGTGACATCTGATCAAAACATTGAATGAATTGAAGGAGGGAGCTCAGAGGTGGAAACAGGCTTTCTAGGCTCAAGGGCCCATCAGAATAGTTGGATGGTATAAGGGAGAAGAGCTGCAGGAATTGCTGTCAGTGAGGCAACAGATGGTCAAATCACAGAGGAACTTGCAGGAAATTTTTAAGTACTTTCCCTTATTCTCTGAGAGAGATAGGAAACCCTCACTGGATTTTCAGCAAAGGAATAAGAGGAACTGACTTACATTGTAAAAGAATCACTCTGGCTCAGAGTGAAATATGGAATAGGGGGCCAGATGAAATCAGGGAGTCTGGTTTAAAAGGATTGCAGTAGGTGAAGGTGGCATGTGCCTGGATGACATGGAATGAGTTGTAAGATAATTATTTTTTTTTTGAGATGGAGTTTTGCTCTTGTTGCCCAGACTGGAGTGCAATGGCACAATCTCGGCTCACTGCAACCTCTGTCTCACGGGTTCAAGAGATTCTCCTGCCTCAGCCTCCCAAGTAGCTGGGATTACAGGTGCCGGCTACCACGCCCAGCTAATTTTTTGTATTTTTAGTAGAGATGGGGTTTCACCATGTAGGCCAGGCTGGTCTTGAACTCCTGACCTCAGGGGATCCATCTGCCTCGACCTCCCGAAGTGCTGGGATTACAGGCATGAGCCACCACACCCAGCTTGAGATAAGATTTTAAATGTGTAAACTACAAGATTTTATAATTTATTAGATTTGAATTGTGAGAAAAATTGAGGAGTAAAGGATGACTTTACACATTACATAATGAAATCGAAAGTTTTATACTTAGGTGTGAAATGTATCTTTAGATAAAAATTAAACATTTGAAATAATTTGAAAGTTATAATACAGTTAAAATTCTTCTCAGCCTAGCCAAATTTTTTAGATACTCAATTTAAAACAATTACTTGATCATTACTTCTTTATTGCCAATAATTTTTTGATGCTATCCAACTCTTCACTGAAGATGCACCTTGGTAAAGTTAGCAAAGTTCTTAATGTAGGAACAAACTCCTCTTTCTTGAAACACTCTTTTTCATCTTCCAAATCTCAGGTGTCATGTTCCTTTTGTCCTGTTTCTTAAACCATTCTTTCTTACCTTTTTTTGCGGCCCCCTCTTCGCTGGCATTTCCTAACTCTCAGTGCTTTTTTAGTATTCTGTTACGAGCTATCTTCCTATATCCATCTTTGACTCCACTTGGACAAGCTTCACCACGAGAAAAGTTTCAATTATTGTCTAAATATTAATGACATCAAATTCTCTAGTCCCTTACTGTTCAGTGTGGTAGCTCCATCTGGCTCTTAAATGCTTCAAATGTTGCAAATACAAATTAAGACGTGCTATAAGCATAAAATAAATGCTGAATTTTGAAGATGTAGGTTTTTTTTTTTTTTTTTGACAGAGTCTCACTCTGTCGCCAGGTTGGGGTGCAGTGGTGCGATCTCAGCTCACTGCAACCTCTGCCTCCCAGGTTCAAGCGATTCTCTTGCCTCAGCCTCCCGAGTAACTGGGACTACGGGTGCGTGCCACCATGCCCAGCTAATTTTTGTGTTCTTAGTAGAGACAGGGTTTCACCATGTTGGCCAGGATGATCTCGATCTCTTGACCTCGTGATTCGCCTGCCTCAGCCTCTCAAAGTTCTGGGATTACAGGCGTGAGCCATCACGCCCCGCTGAAGATGTAGATTTAAAATAACAGAATATATCAATAATTTTTATATTGATTAGACATTGAAATAAAATTTGTTGATATATTGGATAAATAAAACATACTGTTAAAATTTATTTTATCTGTTTCTTTTACTTTTTTATTATAGCCACGAAAATATTAGAAGTTACAGATACACCTCACAGTATATTTTTATTAAACAGTGCTTCTCTGGCCCCATTGATATTTCTTCAGTATCAGACTTAGCCCGTGGCTTGGTATATAATGTGTTAATAAACATTTATAAACTAAATAAATGAATGTACAAAACAAAAACCTTTCATAAACTGGAAAAAACTTTGCACAAAATGTGGAGACGGTATACAAACATTTTCTAAGGAATGCTAAAAAGTGATGTTCTTATAAGGAGATAACCACCATGTTTTGAATGGGAGAACTCAGTTTTCTAAAGATGTTAATCGTCCCTAAAGTGACACACATTATAAGGAAATGATTCTCATAATTTTTCTTTAGAACTTAACAAAATAATTTTAAGATTCAACTAGAAAACTAAACATGGAATAATAAGTCAAAAAAGATTTAAAACAAAATAATTATAGGGGATCATATCAAGTTTTTAACAAGTTATAAAACTTCAAATATTAAAACAGTATGAAGCTTGCGCCAAAATACATAGATCAAGGAAACAAAACAGAAAGTTCAGAAACAGACAAAACTACAAATAAGAATTCAGTACATAATAAAGGTGGCCTTTTAAATCAGTGAAGAAAAGGTGTATAATATGATAATTTCTTTTTTAAAAGTGTGATGACAACTAACCATTTGACAAGAATAAATGTAGATCCTTAATTAACACCTTAAAATAAAATGAAGTCTCCAAATGAATTAGATGTAAGTACAAATAATGAAATTTAACAATATTAGAGGAAAATATAAATGCATTTATATAGATAAAGAAAGCTCTTTCAATGAAGAATTAAGGCAGAAATGGAAAGATCTAACTAAATAAATATTTTAAGACATTCGTATGGGGAAAAATAACACAATCCAAGTGAAAAAGCAAATGACAGAATTATAACTATGTGTGACAGAAAGGGTTAATGAATTTAGTATATAGAAATCTTACAAATTGTCAATAAAAAGAATATATAAGCCACTAGGAAAGTGGGCAAAAAGTATAAACAAGCAACTTACAAAAATAAAAAATGTAAGTGATTAACAAAATATGATGAAAATATTATACTTCACTAGTAACCATAACCATGAATATAAGACAAGATGTCTTCCCTGCCCTCACCAACTATTAGGCTATCAAAGGAGGAAAATTGTCACTGTGATTGAGACTGAAAAGCAACACACTCTTACAGATTAAAATTAGTAAAAATGTTATGAAATATAAAAGGAAGTGATGCATTTAATTCAGAAATTCTATTTCTAAGAATTTTCCCTAGTAATCAGATGGATTCATAAAAATGAAAATGTGAAGATTTGAATATCACAATATTCTTTATAATAGGGGGAAAATTGAAAATAAATGGACAGCCTTAGGTTAATACTTAAATAACTCATACAGCCATAAAATGAAATTCTACCCAATCATTACAAATGATGGGGTCTATATTGATAAATATGTGGCATGTTGATGACATGTTGCTATATGCTAAGTGTAGTTTCCCAAAAACTGTATCTACGATGATCCCACTTTAAAGATACATTTATTTCATTCATACACATTAAAAGAAAGTATTCTCCAAAATGATACTAGTGCTTACACACTAACAGTGCAAATATGGCTATCATGCCAATAGTGATAGGATTATGGGCAATTTTTTCCCGCTTGCTTTTATTTTTTTGTTTCTAATCTTTCTACATAAATATGAATAAGCAATTAAAAATGCGCAAACACAAGCAATATATATATATTGAAACATTGTGATTTATAGCAATGCAAGAAGCCTTACAGGCTATGTTTATACTGTCAGAATTCACTTGTGCCACATTTCTATTCCACTTTCTGACACAGTGAAGCCTCACACTCATAATCTCCTCAGCACACCTATATAGGTGCTCACAAAGGAGCCTACAGACATGCAGTTCATCTCTGCTGAGAGCAAACGCTGCTATGCTCACTCTCAGAGAAACATGGCAGGCATTGGCATTGTCTCACAATAGGTGCCTGAGTTTGAAGGAGAAACTTTGAAAAAAAAAATTGTTTGGTGTTTTCATGTCCTTTTAGGACATACTCAACTAACTTGCACAGGGAAGAGAGTTTGGCTTCAAGTTCTTTATCCTAATAGTAAAAATAATAAGACTTTTGCTTATATGAATGTACACTAACTTACTTGTTTTCAAAAGAATCTTGTGAGCTATGTTGGCTGCCTTCCTCTTCTTCCTACTCACATGTTAGAAAAATGAGATTCAAAGAATTTACATGATTTTTTTCTAAAGAGCAGGATGAGGGTTCAAACTCAACTATCTTTCTTTCAAACCTTAGACTCGATTTCATTTCAATCTACAGCCTTCCATGCCTACTGCTGAAAGGCCTAGTCTTTAAATAACTAGGAAGAAGAGAAAACCCAAACACTTTTGATTATAAAATATGATTGATAAGAAATTATAAGTGTTTCACAAAATATTTTTTAAGTGGTACTTTGCAATTGTATTGGTACTTTGCAATGAAGAACCATACAAAAGAGAAGAAAAAGGAAAAGGATCCTTTAAAACTCCCAAACAGACATTTTCTTTTTGAAAGTTACTTCTTGTCCAAGAAGATATTTTTTCAATTACTGGGGGAAAAAAACTGGAATAAATATGCTATGAAATACACTGATTTATTTGTATTAAAGAGAGTATACTACAAAGAAAATACTGAATTAGAGAAAAACATACATGCTACAGTGCTGCAAAATGTACTGCTCATTTCATGCATCTAGTATTCTTCAAATATGAAAAGTATTATAGTTTAAAGTAATACTATGCTTTATATTTCAAAAGCCAAAAGGAAGGTTGAAAATGGCCTAAAATATCTACAAATCAAAGGTTTGTAGCTAAATGTTTTATAAAAACATAAATTTGGTATAATATTTTTCCAATTCTGAGCCAGCTTTCTGTACATTCACATGCAAGCATGCACCGGTGTCCTTCTCTATGAACATCATTGCAAAGTGTCCAATCAATTTGCTTCTATTATGAATCATGCCCTATTCTTACTGGTTTTCTGCACATCAACATTCAATGAGTAGACTAAAAGCCCATGCTATGTATACTCATCTAAAATTCTTCCATATACAACCTTTGCAGAAATAACTGAGCCAGAACGCATATCAGTTATATTGCTTTCATGTTTGAGGCCCAACTGTTGCACCTTCTGGGTCGATGCCAAATAGAGATTTTTCTAGTAGGCAATATAAGTTTTCACTACTAATTGGATCTGGCATGTACTCTCACAAATAGTCACATTTGTTTTTTCTTGATTGATTTTTAAACTATTTGTCAATGCAAGGTCAACAGTGACCCTTCTCAGGTCTTTCAGCCATGGGGATTGGTCCTCAGCCTGCTGAAATGCCAAGCAATTTTAGTTTATTTCATTTGTCTACTTCATGTTTATAAAAGTGCATTGACATACACATCGACACACTGTTTTTTAATGAGTTGTAAGCGTTTGTTGTCATTAAAAAAATATATTTTAGAAAATTTGAAAGAGAAAAGAAAAATATCACAGTCACCACAGTAACACAATTATTATTTGTGTTTATTACCTAATTTTTTAGTAATAAATCCTTAAAAATTATTGTATATTTTAAAAATATGTGTCTTAGTCTTCTCCTTCCCTTTGGCCCTTAGGTATACATAATTACAGGAATTACAATCTTTGTTCATGACAAATGCTATGTAATGTTCATGCAAGGCCCTATTAATTTTTTACTCACTTATTTGTAACACTATAAGATCTCTCACAAATTCACCATCATCTCCTCATATATTAGGAGCTTCATATTAACCTACATCAAATGTTTTGTTCCTCATTCCTCACTCTGCCTTTCCCTACTAAAGGTAACAATCATTCAAAATTCTGTTCTTACCAATCTCTTATTTCATGTATTGCATTTAGATGCACTCCTTAAAAGCTTATTTTTTTTTAGATTGTTTAAAAGTTGAGCATACTGCATGTAATCTTTTGGAATTTATCTTTTCATTTAATAATCTTATTACTAAGATTTATTCCCAATGTTGTCTGTCACTCTATGTCATTCATTATGATTTCTGTACAATAAACCATTGTGAATATACCACATTTTTTTCTTCTATTTTCACTTGGATGGACACTTGGGTTGCCTTTATTATAGTCTTTAACTGTCAGTTTTAGTAGTTTTATGATATTCCATCAATTTTCCTAAACAGCTCTATATATTTTTTATTTTGTTGCATATAATACATTGCTCTATTGATCAAGGTTGGAGTGAGCACCTCTGTACTAATAGGTTTCCTGCAATATATATTATACCTTAGACAGAGACAGAATTATTAGGTCAAAAGATATAAGCATAATAGATATTTCCAATTTGCATTCCAAAGGATGACAATTCCATCAGCAATTGCACAATTATCACATCACCATAAGCACTGTCTAATTTATTTTTTGTTGTTAATTTAAAAGATAGTTATCTTTTGGCTGGGTGCAGTGGCTCATGCCTGTAATCCCAGCACTTTGGGAGGCCGAGGTGGGTGGATGACCCGAGGTCAGAAGTTCGAGACTAGCCCGACCAACATGGAGAAACCCCGTCTTTAATAAGAATAGAAAATTAGCCAGGCATGGTGGTGCATGCCTATAATCCCAGCTACTTGGGAGGCTGAGGCAGGAGAATCGCTTGAACCCTGGAGGCATAGGTTGCCGTGAGCTGAGATCATGCCATTGCCCTCCAGCCTGGGCAACAAGAGCAAAACTCCATCTCAAAAAAATAAATAAAATAAAATAAATATAGTTATGTTTTACTTTTAAGCCTCACTGATTTCAGTCAATAAATGAATATTGACATATTAGAGGTAAGGCATTAAGAGTGAAATAATGGCTCATAAACGAGCTCAAAAGTCTAGTTTGAAATTCTCAATGGGATATATTGTCAGTAAGCATTGTTTATTCTTACTAGAGTGATTTTCAACTTGCAAGTAAAAAAGCTGAAGCTTAAAGGAAATGAGTAATTTTTCTAAAATTATATAGTTAGTTTTCTATCACACTGTATTGCTTCCCAACTGACCAAATGTAAAATGGATCATCAAAATTTTTAACTTGTTTTCATTTTGAGTGATCTCTTTAAATTTCTGTAGGATTTATAATCTTGGCCCTACAACATAGTACTTGAACACGCATCTACTGTTATTTTAATTCCACCCCCCGCCCCACCCCAAGGAATGGCCTTCTTTTCCTGCTGTTGCTTCTCCCTTGAATTTATCCCTCACAATGTGTTGTAGTGTCAGGTCTAGAGCAATTTGTACAGACAGACAAGCTGAGCTGACCTGTCTGAAGTCACACTCTTTCTATGTTGGAGACACTTGTCTTACCATTCCTCTAAATCAAAATATTATTAATTATGTAGATTTGATATCTCATTTTCAACTCATTCTTCTTTCATATGCCATATGTTCAATAATATTAATTAACTAGTTTGCATCACAGCATGGCATAAAGTGCATTGCAGTGTTTGTATAATTTATATAAATGTTTGCCACAAGATTACTTGGCCAATGGAGACAGTAGTAGGGACTTTTTTTTTCAGTCTCACACAGAACAACATTTGCCAGGCACTCACAACACAGCCACTCTACTCAACTACCTCAACTAGAGACAATTTTTGTTCAGTCTGATTCATCCCTAACAAAGCAAACATATTTAATCCTTGGTCTTTATGACTAAAGTCAGCAGTTTTACCCATCAAAGCTGCAAGTTCCCACCCTTTTCCTGCATGCCTGCAATCTGCATCTGAATTGCCAGATGATTACTCTGCTGGGTTCCTTATGCCCACTCATAAACAGTTACCGGTCTTTGTGGTCCTGTGCAAAAATAGGCCCCTGGATGAGTCATTCGTTGTGTATCCAGATACCGGCAAGATTTGTAAAACAAATTCACATTTTTCACTTTTGTTCTATCTTTCTGATCTTAGCTTGGAACAATTAGCTTTCCCTAGGTTTTGTTAAATAGAAATATGCCCATATAACATATTCTCCTTGCTTTCCCCTTCTGACAGAGCAATTTCTTTGGCTATAGAAAGATGCATTTCCACAGATTCACCAGATAAAATATTCTCTGCCCTTCTTCCTCAGTAACTGTGAAACTGCGTTGGCAAAATTATGACTGAGATGGTGAAAGAGATCTAACTTAACTGACTCCATCTTGCTTCCAACCTCCCAGCTATCCTTGTTCATTCCTGGGCGTAGGCTGAACTAACTTTGGGAAAAAATTAGTTTATAGTTTAAGCAAAGATGGTAACAACCTTTTCCCAAGGCAGACCTCCTTCTTACCTGGGGACTAGATTGTGTTTGTAAGACTAACATTAGCCACAAGAGTAGAAATTATGGTTTAGGAGTCATGCAGCTGGAGGATACAAGATTCTGACCCTCCATAAACTGCTCCTAAGATCAATGCTTGAGATATTTTGCAGACCCTGCACTTGATGGATCAGTTGGCCCCACCCAGATCAATAAACTGGCTCATCTGATCTTGTGGCCCCCACCCAAGAACTGACTGGATGCAAGAAGACAGCTCCAACTTCCTATGATTTCATCTCTGACCAATGAGCACTTCTGGCCCACTGGCTTCCCCCACTCACCAAGTTATCCTTAAAAACTCTGCTCTCTGAAAGCTCAAGGAGACTGATTTGAGTAATAATAAAACTCCAGTCTCCCTCACATCTGGCTCTGCATGAATTACTCTTTCTCTATTGCAATTCCCTTGTCTTGATGAATTGGCTATGTTTAGGCAGTGGGCAAAGTGAACCCCTTGGGCGGTTACAAGTTTGAGGGCTCATCCAGGATTGCCCTTGTGGCTACCTTCCCGTGGTTCAGTGGGCCCCCTCCAGTGATGGATTCAGAAGCCAGCCCAAGTGACTGCCTAGTTCTCTTGGACTGGGGACTGACTCTGGTACTCTCTCTACTGGCTGGGTGCTGCTGACCCAATGTGCATGGATTTAATTGCAACGGAGAAATAGTCCTGGGGAGACATCCTTAACTGTAGCCCTATCACAGGGTGTCTGTCTGTAGCCCCGTGGTGGGGTGTCTGTCTGTAGCCTCGTTACGGGGTGTCTGGATTGGTGAATCTTAAGTACTGCCAACACCTCTTTCCTTCTCCCAACTGGTTCTGTAGCTGTATGGTTCAGCTCCTTGTGGGGGCAGTGGGGGTGGTCTCAGTTGGTTCTTTCTAACTAGTGGGAAGAATCCTGGTTTGGGAAATTTCTCCTCAATCAGGAAGTTTTTGAGAAGTTTCTCAGACAGAGAATAAGAGGATAGTTTTGAAGGGATACTCTTGGAGTTCTTGGTTAGGGATCTGATTTGGAAGGCCTTCTGTCCATCTCATCTTTGTATGTGTCTGTATATGTGGAAGGGATCTCAGAGGGGCTGCTGATGGAAATCTAGCAGAACTAACTCAGAGAACCCTCCTTATTTGTGTGGTCACACTCGATGAGATCTAAAGAAGGCTCAACAGGCCTGTCTGTCAGGGTGACTATCTGCTCTTCCCCTTGCCCAGAAACCCTATTGTGAATTACCATTCAGAGGTCGTCCATCACCACCTGGAGTGTATCAAAGACAACAGGGACCAAAGGGAAAGCGTTTGAGCTTTGCCAGGCTGATACTGGGTGCTGAATGAGGTGACTAATGTCTGTTTTGTTATTTGTATTTTGCTGGGATGGAAAATGTTAATTTGGTTCCCCAAGCAGCCTGTTGGGCAGCATCTTGCAAACTGAGAATCTTATCTATGGCTCCATGAGCAATAAAAGGAATTTTCTCTTGTAAAGTGCCTTGAGCTCCACAGCTATAGCACAAGTAAGCAGGGTCATCAGAAGCTGCTCTGTTCTTCTGGAAGCTGCAGAGAAAGGGAACCCAGAAACCTGGTATGCCAGCAAAAAGGGTAAGAAATTCTTCCCAGCCAAGTTTCTGGTCTCTCTCTCTCTCTCTTTCTCTGTCTGGATAAACAGTAAACTATTTGTCACCTCTGCAAGGGTTTGATTAACAGAAAGAAGGATTTGTGAGACTAGTCTTAGGCTGTAGGAAATCTGGTGTACTTTGTGCTAAGAATCTGTCTTTCTGTGTTCTGTAATGGAGAGAGAGGTATCACAGGATAGAATGTGGGTATAGGGCCCCTATAATCCTGCTTTTCAAGTCAGTTTGGCAAGTTGGTCAGTTACAAACTTTGCTATGGGTCCCTGAAACAAATACTGTATTTATAAAATTTCTCTGTCTTGTTTTGTGTTTTAAGAGCTTAACCTTATGACCATGTGGGGATACATTCTTTTGGTTTCCACCACCCAGAGGACAGGAATTTGGGAGTTCATGTCATAGTTAGCCCTAAAAATTTTTCTTGAGCAGTTAAAAGCCTTGCAAGCTAGAAATTGGCTTCTCTAGGCTCTTCTAGGAAAAGCAATAGAAACTGCTCAATGCTGTAGAGCTCAGCAGCTAAGGCTTTATCTTTCGACAGTGGTGGCCTGGGTTCAATAGTTGGCTTCTGGAATGATTGCTTTCTGGTTTGTTAATTGTGTAACTTTGCCATTTATTGAGGTTTTTTTTTTCCCCTCATAGATAGCTTCTGATTTCCTCTCTTGAATTTTCCTTTCTCAGAACTACCTTGTGCAGATTCTAAATCTTGTAAAAAAAGAAACTGCTTGCCATGTATTTGAAGCACCTAGGAAGTTACCTTTGGTAAATTTCAGAGGCTAGATATATTGGCTTGGCATGGCTAAAGTCAGGTAATAAGAGATTTGAAAGGATTTCTTTTTTAAAGAGTACTATGGTTAAAAGTCAGCTTAATTAAAATTGAATAAACTATAGATGTATTTAAAAGGCCTTTATGTTTTTGTCTTCTTGGAACCTGTTTTTCTGGAAAAAGTTTTTTTCTTCTCAGTCTACTGAATTATTTTTCTCCAGTTTTTTGTCTTGCCACTCTTAATGCACACATGAGAGGCTCTAAGATAACTTCTGGTAGCCTGGGACTTATTGGGAAAAGCAAAGGGGGCGCCACAGACCCCATTTTGGGAAAAAAACCCTCTGTTTTCCTCATGAAACCCCAGGAACTAAAAGCGGACGGATCTCTCTCTGTTTTACATTCTATTATCTGACAGTTTTGAGTTTTGAGGGCATCAAAAATTACTTCACATTATGAGAGAGCTTTGCTGTGTAATAACTAGGTGGGAAATATACTTTAAGGGATGGCTAATAGTAGTTATATTTGAATCTTTGCACACTTGGATCAGAGAAGCATGCTTTTGTTCACCTGGAAAATAAGGAAACATCTCCAGCCCGCACTGGGAGATAAGACTTCCATGAGAAATGGGCTGATTACAAAATGGGCTGATTGGCTTTGGGTTGTCTTGCAATGAAATGCAGGGTAGGAGCACTGCACTGTCTTCTCCCGTAGTATTTCCCTCCTTTTGTGGATCCGGGATCCAGTATAAAATGGCACACTTAATTTTGGGGATCTGTCTTTGCCTTCAGCTGCTAATTTGCTGCTTATTTGGCCCTAGAAATGCATGCTTTCCTGGCCCTGTTCCTCCTCCCTGAAGCCAGTAATTCAATTAAGAAACTGGCGTGGTGGCTTATGCCTGTAATCCCAGCACTTTGGGAGGCAGAGGCGGGCGGATCACGAGGTCAGGAGATCTATACCATCCTGGCTAACACGGTGAAACCCCGTTTCTACTAAAAATACAAAAAATACAAAAAATTAGCCAGGCGTGGTGGCAGGCGCTTGTAGTCCCAGCTACTCAGGAGGCTGAGGCAAGAGAATAGCCTGAACGTGGGAGGCGGAGCTTGTAGTGAGCCGACATTGCGCTGCTGCACTCCAGCCTGGGCGACAGAGAAAGACTCTGTCTCAAAAAAAAAAAAAAAAAAAAGAAAAGAAAAGAAAAGAAAAGAAAAAAAAGAAACTGGCAAATAAAAAATCTTACAAGTGCTGAATCTTCTGTCTTTCTGTCTGTGTATTTATGTGTGTTTTTTGTTTCTATATAAAAGAGTTCTGATTAATTGGCTTAGGAAAATAAGCGCTTAAATCAAATATTTTGTCAGAAAAATGGAAACTTTAATGCCTTTTTGTTCACATGCCTTTAGGAATCTTTTGGATATAAAGACAGTTTTAAAGATTATTGATAAAATAAAATGTTTTGAAAATGTAGACATTTGGTCTAAATTAAGGTCAGATATCAGATTTGCTAAATGCATTAAGGTCAAACTGTGTCTTTGACTTTTGAAAATTATTCGATTTACCTACTTTGGAGCATTAGATTATAGATAAGGCCTAGGGACATATGGAGACCCATGCCTGCTAGCTATGTTAAAAGGAGTCAGACCTTATCTTCATTTCTGTCTGATGTCCTAGGCTCCACCGCTAGTACATATAAATTGCTTACTTATCAGGTTTTTCACTAAAAATAAAAGTTGCTAAGAGTTAACATTGTAACATCTAGTTGAGACCACCTGAGAAGCAGTTTTACATACAATGTGTGTAGGGAATGTGTTTTTGGTAAAAGATTATAAGAAGGCACGGGAATGTGGCTTTTGTTAAAGGGAATGTAATTTTGTCTATTTCAGAGGGATTTAAAGATTGTCTTAACGTGAAAGAGTTAACAGAACAAAACTGAAGGTTTAGCAAAGTGAAAAGGGTTTGTAAAGGGTTGATATTGTAAAAATTCTGTGGGCATAAACAAGTTGGCTAAGATTTAAAAGAAATTGGCTGGGCAGGGTGGCTCACACCTGTAATCCTAGCACTTTGGGAAGCCAAGGGAGGTGGATCAGAAGGTCAGGAGTTCAAGACCAGCCTGGCCAATACGGTGAAACTCCATCTCTACTAAAAGTACAAAATGTAGTTGGGCATGGTGGCACACACCTTTAATCTCAGCTACTCAGGAGGCTGAGAAAGAAGAATTGCTTGAACCTTGGAGGCGGAGGTTGCAGTGAGTCAAGATTTTGCCATTGCACTCCAGCCTGGGTGACAGAGTGAGACTCCATCTCAAAAAAAAAAAAAAAACATTAAAATCATACTGATGTGGGGCTAGAATCTGGGCCCCTGTGTTTGAATAACAGGGTTTTCTTACAAAGTTGATCTGCTGTTTGATGGAAAATTGTAAAGGGTTCTAAAAGGTTTGTGAAAATCATACCTTATGGTCAAACTAATTAAAACTCGATAGAGATATAAAATTTTATATTAAAAAACTAGCTTTAACATTAAAGATGTACTAATGCAACATTAAATTTGGTTTTCTCTTGTGAATATGATTTTTATGTACTGTTAAAAGAAAATGAAAGTGTTTTGTTTTCTCCTATGAGTAAATGGCAGGAAAAAATAGGAGAGAGAGAAGAGACAGATTCATTTGGTCTTATGCTATCTTCGCAGGGTCTCGTTTGGAAAGCTAAGTCTCCTCTATCAGAGTAAAGGTTTTTCTTTTTAAAAAAAATTTTGCAGTTATTTTGGCCAAATGAATGACTTATGGTGACCTGGGATTCTATTTTGTGATATCCAATGTTTTAAACCTTTGATATTTGACAAACTTTCCAAAATCAAATCAGAAATTATGTCTCTTTCTTACCTAATATTTTAGATATTAGGTCCTCTGAAGTCCAAAAATGACATTTGGCTTATTTGGTGCAAAAATCATACAGGAAGCATTGTCAAATATGAAATGGTGTTTTGCTTTCTTTTGCCTATATTTGTGTAAATGTGTTATTGGTGTATGTTCCAAAATTATGTAAAACTCCTATAATTCTAATATCACTTAGTGTATGTTATCAGTAATAATTACAATTATTGTTTAACAGACTGTGCCACAGAGGTAACAAATTTCCTTTACAATCTTGCCTTTACCTGTGGCTGCCCTAAAATGTTGTTGTCCATAGACACCTGTTATCTCATTTTGGTCCTCTTTAAAAGATGGTTTTATAATCACCTATAAAATGTAACAGGTGCTCTTAAATGCAGGATTCTGATTAATAACACTGGAGATTGTGACATTAGAATAGAGAAAAAATTTTTGAATAGAAAAGTGAATGGTCTTTGGTTTACTTTGGACTGTATTTGTATAAATATCTTATTAGTGTGTGTTCCAAAATTATGGGAAACTTAGTGTCCATTCTTAATAATTATAATTGTTACATAAAATTGTTGTATGCCACAGAAGTAACCAAAATTCCTAGTCAATTGTAGCTTTAATAGTGGCTGTAGACTTTTGTCATTCACAGACGTTTCTCTTGCTTTGTCTTGCTTTGGTCCTTTTCAAAAGGCAGTTTATAATCAGATATAGGACTGTAAGTGCAGGTTTCAGATAACTTTTAAAACTGTGCTATTGGAATAGAGGAAAAAAATCAAACTTCTAGGACTCTCCTGGAGAGCAAATGTGTTAAACATTGGTAAACCTTTTGTTATCAGAGTCAAGATAACTTATATTTTAGAGCTTTTTGCAACTCCTGTGAACAAAATTTGGAGCATATTTGTTCCTCTCTGCCTGATTTCTCCAGAATTTGGAAACTGTTTGTGAATATTTTCAATTTATGGTGGTATAGTTAATTGCATAAGTGCAATAAGAATCTGTTTTCTTTTGTAACAGGACAAAATTGGAGAAACTGATTATTTTACCCAGGCTTTGACTGGAATGGCATGATTCCTTTAAAAAATTCAAGCTTGACTTATACAGCCAATTAAGCCCTGTTGGGGAATCTGGTCTCATACCTTGTCCACACAGAGTCCTTGTACAAGTTTCCCGACCTGTGGTAAGTAAAGAATGTCACTTTCTAACAGGCCCAGGAACCCCAAGCTCTCTTGGGCCCTAAGAGGAGAGGAATTTGCCAAACTCATAGGTGTTGAGGGTACAAACCCATGGCTGGGCTCGGGTTTTTTTTTTTTTTTTTGAGATGGAGTTTCACTCTCATTGCCCAGGCTGGTGTGCAATGGCATCACCTTGACTCACTTCAACCTCTGCCTCCCAGGTTCAAGCAATTCTCCTGCCTCAGCCTCCTGAGTAGCTAGGATTATAGGCACCCGCTGCCACATCTGGCTAATTTTTTTTTCTTTGTATTTTTAGTACAGACCAGGTTTCACCATGTTGACCAGGCTGGTTTTGAACTCCTGACCTCAGGAGATCCATCCACCTTGGCCTCCCAAAGTGCTGGGTTTATAGGTGTAAGCTGCTGTGCCCAACCTGGGCTCAGCTTTTAAAAAGTCTTATCTGAGATTCCTCATGTAACAGAGTTCTATCAAAGCCAATTTAAAAAGCCTAAGTGAAAAATAATTATTCTTGCTGCACTTTAAGCAAATAATCATGCCAAGTACTGTAAGACTAGAGTTTATTTTGTAAACAAATCAGTTCTATCATGATTTGTTTTTAATTAAAATGGGGACTAGGGAGAGAAAAATTATGCTTCAAAAGAAAAACTATAGTACACTGTTATTAGCTGTTCTTGAGGTTTTTTTCTGTAGTTTAGACTAAATCCTAAATTCTTTGTTGGTTAGAAGTCCCCAAACTAATGTTTTTAAATCTTTGCTTTTAAAATTGGGAATTGTACTCCTCATCCTAGGGCTTGTTATTTGCCTTATAGTAGGCTGTTCACTTAAACACTGTAGTAAATCTATAGATGAGAGTACTAATATTTTTGCCATGCAAGCCTTGAAATCCCATCCGGGCCTGCATGATTACACCCAGATCAGTGCAAAGCAGTTCCACTCTTGTCATCTCGGGGTTAACTCCCATTCCCACTATGTCTCCTGTTAGCAGGAAGAAGCCAGATTGATTGATGGCCTTTTCCCATCTTCATAGCCTACACCTTAAGATGAAGGTGTTATAAAACCCAAAGGGAGGGATTGTAACTGCCTTTGCAAAATTATGATTGAGATAGTGAAAGAGAGCTAAATTAACTGACTCCATCTTGCTTCCAACCTCCAAGCTGTCTTTGTTCATTTCTGGGGGAAGGCTGAACTAACTTTGGGAGAAACTTAGTTTACAGTTTAAACAAAGACAGTAAAACCCCTTTCCCAAAGCAGACCTCCTTTTTGCCTGAGGACTAGATTGCCTTTGTAGGACTAACATTAGCCACAAGAGTAGAAATTATGGTTTAGGAGTCATGCAGCTGGAGGCTACAAGATTCTGACCTTCCCTAAACTGCTCCTAAGATCAGTGCTTGAGATATTTTGCAGACCCTGCACTTGATGGATCAGCTGGCCCCACCCAGATCAATAAACTGGCTCATCTGATCTTGAGGCCCCCACCCAGGAACTGACTGCATACAGGAAGACAGCTCCAGCTCCTGCTCCTTCTGATTTCATCTCTGACCAATCAACACTCCTGGCTCACTGGCTTCCCCCCACCCACCAAGTTATCCTTAAAAATTCTGCTCCCTGAATGCTCAAGGAGACTGATTTGAGTAATCATAAACCTCCAGTCTCCCACACAGCCAGCTCTGTGTGAATTACTCTTCCTCTATTGCAATTCCCTTGTCTTGATGAATCAGCTCTGTCTAGGCAGCAGGCAAGGTGAACCCCTTGGGTGGTTACAACTGAACCATGGCACACAACATTTAGTTAGTAAAACACTTTGCTGTATTAAATGCATCCTTTTTTTATAGCCCTGACAATGCATGCATTTCCAGAAACATGGGTTGATTTTATGAGCACAAAAGGTGGAAGATGAGCCCTTTAATGTATTCTTCTCAGTGATAAGCCTACTTTGCACAGTAACACATAATAGAGTTTCTCAAGGACTTTACTGTATTTTACAAGCAAGGGCTGAGGGTATTTGGTAGATGTGGAATTTGACCTACAGAATGCTGCAATACCCAACCTAAGGTCAAACAGGCAGTCCCTGGCCAATTTTGTTCAGAACCTTGACCATCTAACTATCTTTTGCTCTAACATTATGTTTTTTTTTCTAATCCATCAAGAAAGAAGAAAGAGCTTTAACAGACATTTGATAATGAATTGTTACTTCTTACTCATGTTTATATATAAACTCTTGACTGTCAATGCTATAAAAGACAATTCAAAAGGAAGAAATGCAGTTATATTGAAACACCATTCAAAACATCACAACAAGAAATGCAGTCTACTATAAACTGGTAAGTTCTAGTAGTTGTGGACTTTTTAGTGGATTACAAGAGTAAAAATATTAATTTTGAAATTGATTATTTGGATCTGAGAACATTGTTTTTCATTGAAATTATATGTATCTGCTGGTTATGTTCTTGAGACAGAATGAAAAAGAATGCCTATTTAATGCATAATGTACTTAAGTAATGGTAATAATAGTACTGTTTCAACGTATCTCACATTGTTTCCATGGAAGAAAATATTTCAAGCCCCAGACTTTCACAGCTGGGCCATTTCTAAAGCAGGTGTGACTGATTCTGATAGTGGCAGCAGATGCATAAGGAAAAGGCCAGGCGATAGAAAAGTTAGAGATGGGAACAGGTTTCAAAACCATTTTCTTAATTCTGCATTTCAGTGGGAGAAATGACATTGTTTTCTATCTGCTCAAAGAACGCCAGATACATCCTAGGTTCTCTGAATTGAGAAAGAATGAGAAGTTTCTCTCCAACAAATGGAGGTCTGAATGCAGACCACCTGTACCTGAATGCAGCTACAGACTTGCATTTTGTTCAAGAAAGATATCTTTCTGCTGGTGGGACAAGACACAAGATACACACAGAAAGAAAGTATAATTGAGAAGGGAGGAAATATATGTTAGGTGAGGAAGAACTTACTTTGTACAAAATACACTAGTAATACTAGTAGTAGTCACGGTGAGAAGGAAAAGAAAAGTATTGCAAGATGTGCAATACTCAAGCCACGCCTTTAGTGCTTAATTGGGAAAATTTGACCTCTGATTTTACCTCTGGTTTCCACACTCCTGAAAGGAGGATATTGAATTTAATGATTCTTTAATGGTTTTTCAGCTTTAAAATGCTACATTTATGCTACAATAAACCTGAATAAACAATACAGCCCTAGGGAGAAGGTAAGCAAGAACATGGCAGAGCCCCAGTGTTGGGGAGATGAAGGCCTGCTGAGAAAGTGACCCCATAACCAGGCCCAAACACAGCTAAATGAAATAGAGTCCAAGGTAGACAGTAGGACTTGGAAATAAGATAGAGGAATACTTCTTTTAAAAATATGCCTCCTTAAACTGCTTCTAGGGTAGCTTCATGAGGAAGCTGGCATCGAGTGCCAGAGCATTAATCCAAGCCACTTCAAACACCTTCTTGTCTTACTTTGGGATTTATCTTAGAGAATATGACAGGAGTGAATTCACGGGTAGAAAGCAAGTTTCATCAGATCATTTTGTGTGGTGGTAGATATTTTAAATTATTCACACTTTTCTCTTTTTTTCTCAGATCACCTCTTTTTTTAGTTTTTATTTTTCTCTTTCCTCTCACCCTACCCAGAAATACTACTATAGTAAGTTATTATCTCTGATAAAAATAAGTCAAAGTCCTTAGGTGTGATGGAGACAGGATAAGGTTGAGACTTATGGTCCATTGGGAAAATAGATGATATACAGTGACTGAACCCAGGCAGAACCTAAAAAATACATTGAACATCTGGGTGTTTTTAGCAAAATATGAGATTGGATTATGTGGTCCATCTGCATGGAATTAGCATTAAATTTATCTAGTAGTTAGATGAAGATGCATACTATATAAATCCAAATATAAGAAGTAGCTATTATAATAATTATTGATAATAATTTACTGTTCTTATCCATGGCCTTAAACATGTCATTTTATAATTGTATTCTTCAGTTTTATAAACTGATCTAAAAAGCCCAAAAATAATTCTGTAAAGGCAAATGACCTGATAAGGCAAAACAAAACCTTAATATCTCAGCAAAGGTAATTTAACAAGAAATTTCATTGTATTCACACAGAATTAATTTTTATGATAAATTATATTAGACCATCAAGCACTTTACTTGTTTATGTCTTCACAAGTGAGAGAAAAATCACACAAGAAATAAATTTATTTAAATATATTGACATATCATGTCATGAATTATTCCCATGTTTCACCTCTGTTCATGTTGACTTTGTAGATACAGCTTTAGAAAATATTTTGTATATCACTAAGATAAACAAGATACATATTTATGGGAGTTATTGCATTATTCCATTTACAGTATTCTTCATCAGGTAGATGATTGTCGACCAGTTAAAATAAAAATTTA
Source organism: Homo sapiens (assembly GCF_000001405.40). Taxonomy (NCBI): domain Eukaryota; kingdom Metazoa; phylum Chordata; class Mammalia; order Primates; family Hominidae; genus Homo; species Homo sapiens. Next base: position 87,711,029 of record NC_000005.10, on the reverse strand, counting down.
AGAATTTTTTTAATAAAAGGCATAACTTGTTGATAAATACTTGGTAAGAACAATTATATTACAAAGAAATAGAAGAAATAAATAAAAATGGAAAAATCATTTAAATCTAGAAATACATTTTCCTTTAGAATCTAAATATTTGAGTAGAAGGTTTCCATTTCCCTTTAAGTTGCATTTGAATAAGTGGCTGAGAAGCCTCATGGCACATTCATGGATAGTGATACTTATGTTATAAGTGGCTGAGCCTCACATGAAAATACGATTCACCAATTATGTCATGTTTACCTGATAATGTTCAACAAATTTTGAACACTTAAAAATTATTTGGCATTATTTTTTACGTTAACATTCTTAATATCTAAGCTGGACATATATGGCAATGTCACCCTCACAGGGAATACACTTATTTTTCACTTTTGTTTTGAAAGCACTTTGAAAAATTAAAAGTAGTATATGACCATAAGAAAGCAATGGGCTTTCCTGTATTGTAAATTTCCTGTATTGTCTACATAAAAACCTGTAGACAAATGACACAGTAAATATGGACACTGATTCTTGGAACTTGATTGTAGACTAGAAAGCTTCAAATAAGATTATCTACAGGTTTCTAGAATGTCCTTACAAGCAAGGATATCTTATGACACCAGAGAAAAATGAGACAGCAGTTTCCCATGAATAAATTCTGATCCCTTTGCACATTGAGCAGATATACCAAGGGAGAGACCATTGGCTCTCATTCTTTGGCTTTTTAAAAAATTTCACCTACTTGTTTCCAGTTGTGTACATAAAAAGAAAGTTAAGTTGCAGTTGAAACATATTGGCCAGGATACCCGCGAGTTATTTTGTGTTTGTGCTTTCTTCAAATGCAGCCAAAATTAGGATATATATTAATTTTTTAAAAATAAAAGTCATGTTTTTGACCTCTGTTTATCAAAAAGCTGTTAGTCTTATATTATGAAGGCAATTTAATGAAAGTAATGACTTAGAAAACCAAGAAATTTTAAATAAAAAGTCAATTTCTTTCTGCTGTCATGGAATGAGGTAGATGAGAGGCACGAATGTGAGACAACTCTTTGAATTTGATTAACTATGCTTTTAGACAATCTGTGTTATTAAAAATAACATTTGGAAATATTGGAGTTGTAGTTCTTAGATAAGGTTACAAAGCCAATGTTTATTGTAATTAATGATTTAAACATCCTTCTGAAAAGCATTCTCAGCAAGTCATAAGAATCTAAATGATGAAACGGAATATTTTTAGCAATTGTTTCCATGAAAAAGACAGTCAACATTGACGAAATAATAAAAGCAACAAAATGCAAGTCTCTGTCATCACAAGTCTGTATGAGAAGCAAACAGCTTTACTTCTCTGAGAGATGATGTTACAAGCTCTGCCCCTCACTATTCCAAAGAGCTACTCACATGCTTTTTACATGAGATGAAAGGCTTCATAATCCAAGAAGTTCATAGATCACTTTAACATCATCTTTTCCAGTATTTTTTTACTGGTTAGTAAAGATAAGCCTTATCCTTGTTTTATAGAAGAAATTTTTCTGTGCTCATTACAGCCCAGCTGATGGGTGCCGAGGCTTTTATTAGGCTTTTATCGCATTAATAAGATGCTATGTTGCATGCTTCACAACAATTGAGCAAATTCCATTTCACTTTTCCTTTGTCCACAGTACTGTTTGTACCAATTATCAGGATTGAAAACGATGTCTAGTAGCATTCTCAAAGTTAAAGAAGGGATTGACCTATCAATCTGGTCGTGCTGTATGGCATTGGGATAGAGCTTTAAAAAATCACGCAGATGTAAGACAAAATAAACAAATATTGCTAGCAGATCTGCAAAAATCTAGTAGTGGTAATTTTGTTGGATATGCAACTAGAAATTGTCACACCAGTAGTAAGGGCCACAAAATTAAAAAAAAATTCATTCCAAATAATGCAACATAACAATCAAGACAAACATGCATCAATACCTGTTTTACTTACAGTTTTAACATATCTTATTCCATAGTTTAACACTATTTTATTTTGGTATAGAAGATCTCTATTACGTACTTCTTTCGATAATTTATTGTATGACTCAATTAGTTGTCTCCATTGCACTTGAAGATTCCAGTACCCCTAAGCTCAGTCTCTCCTATCAGCATTACATTTTTCACATTTTTCATTCCCTCCAGTTGTATAACATTATGTATGAATGTCCTCTTAAATAAATTAAGCTCCTAGAGTTCTTTCTTGTTCTTGGACTGACAGTAGACATCTAAGTGTCTACCATCCCAAAGAGGTACATGTCCATTTATTTTTCATATTTGGAGTCACCAATTAAAAGGTGAAGAAAGAAAGTATTCATTTGGTCAAGATTTCACAAGTGTCTATTATGTCCCAGGAACTATTCTAGGCACTGGAGATAGAGCTATGAACAAAATGGAAATCTTTGCTATCATACAGCTTATATTCTGTTACAGAGGACACAGATAATAAAGAAAATAAATGAGTAAAATACAAAGTATATAAGATAGTTGATAAGTATTGTAGAGGAAAATTAAATAGGCAAGGGAGACAGAGGGCATTGGAAAAAGGGGAAGTTAGTTATGTGGAGGAGCAAAATAGACCTTGCCAAAATAGTCACATTTAAGTAAATTTCCAAATGGAGTGAGCAAGGAAGTCATCAGGATATCTCAGAGAAGATCCTGGAATAGGCACAGGAAAAGACAGATGCAGACAGGAGGCTTCTGGTCTTGGTGAAAAAACTAGTGTAGCTAGAATTAGTGCTGATAGGAGAAAGCAAGGTGTTAGAGGTAAAGGTGTGAATGTTGCAGGAAAAACACCAAGGGAGGCAGATTTTTTGGTACCTTGTGGGCCATTCCAAAATGTCAGTCTTTCTCCCAGTGAGTTGGAAGCCAGTGGATTGAATTTGAAAGAATTTTAGTCTTCTCTTTAACAATTACAATGCTTTGAGAAATTTTTTGTTGGAGAAATTAAAGAGCTACAATTCAATTATTTTTGCAAATATATTAAACTCTAGCTGTTCACTTCATGCTGCATGTATGTATTATTTTAAAATAGTTTTTTTTTTTAATGTTAAATCAGTCAGGCTAAGAAGAATTTTTTGTTTGTTTTTTTTTTCTGGAAGACAGTTGAGTTAGCCAGTTTCACTCAGTCCATGGCATTAAGATAGCAATTTAGAAATTTAACATGAAGCAGGACTGAATTCCTATCTGTTTATGATGCTGTACACATTAAATAGATTCAGTTAGTAATCAGAATCAATTAGAAATTTAATAGTTGTAGCAGAAATTTTAGTAAGAAAAAATATTTGTGAAAAGTCATTTTAGTGGGAAAATTTTGTTGTCACCAAGAGAAGTTTTGGAGTCTTAATAATAATTATGAACAGTTATGGCCAGGTACAGTGGCTAACACCTGTAATCCCAGCACTTTGGGAAGATGAGGCAGGTGGATCACCTGAGGTCAGGACTTTGAGACCAGCCTGGCCAACATGATGAAACCCCGTCTCTACTAGAAATTCAAAAATTAGCTGGGTGTGGTGGCACGTGCCTGTAATCCCAGCTACTGGAGAGGCTGAGGCCAGAGAATCACTTGAACCCAGGAGGCAGAGGTTGCAGTGAGCCAAGATTGTGCCACTCCTCTCCATCCTGGGTGACACAGTGAAACTCCATCTCAAAAAAAAAAAAAGCAATAAATAAACTCCTTGCATGTATTATCTTACTTCACACTACTATTATTATTACCTACTACTATTAATATGTTGTTATAATACATTGATATCATAATTACTCCTATTAGTAATGGTGGTATTACACCTATTTTAATGAAATGAAAAAAATCAACCTTAAACTTAAAGAAGTCAAGTAATTTTTATGGTGCCTAAGAACCAGAATTAGCTTCCAAACCCAGTTTTGAAGATTCTAGAGGCCACACACTATGGATACTTTTTCTGCCTTATCAAGTTAACAATGGTAAACTTATAAATCAACTTGCAAAGCTATTATGAATAGAAGCATTTCATGCTATGATTGTAACATACTGCTGCGTGTGGGCGACACGTAGTTAGAGTCCATAAAATACTAGTTCCTTCACCACTTTCCCAGCTAAGTGGTAAAGACATTACTTATTTTCAAAAGAACAACAGAAGACTGAACATGGAGTCTGTTTAAAAAAAATACACTTTGTTTAGGTAAACACATTTATAGTACTGGGCGTTTTGTAAGAAAATGCACTCCTCCTGCTGATGCTTGCAGTAATTCTCTCCAGAACAGCAGCACAGACTATACTATCTATACTATACACACATAATGGTAATTTCAGAGTAGAAACATATCAATCACAATTTGTACACATAATTTTAGAAGGCATAGTGTGCTATACACTGTCTTCCAGGAATGTGTTTGTTTTGCAAGGAAATAAAATGTAACTTTTCATTAAATGTTACCATATATATATATATATATACATATATATATATACACACACACATATATATATACATATATATATATATACACACATATATATATATACACATATATATATATATATAAAACAACTGTGTTCTACCTTATACTAAAACTCTTTGCAAATATGGATTTGACATATATAAATTTGACAACTCTTAACCATTTAGAATCTTAATTCCTGTTCCAAAGATTCTTCTTTTATACAACTAAAACCAGGCTCTTATTTTCTTTGTATAACATCCTCCTAGCTTTCATCCCCTAGTTTTAACTTTGGGTCATATCAGACCAGGTTATTAATTTTGTTCCCCATTTATCCCATTCGCACACTGGAAGGTACATAAATTGTAACCAGTGTCTAATACCATCCTCAGAGTCCATGTCATGAGACTAACTTATAATGAGATCTTTTTGGCTTCTCCAGTAAAACTACACCTTCTTGGATAATATCCAAGACACATCTGTTTTAAATCAAGTTCTGCTCTACAGAATGTGGCAATGTGGATGTAGACAAGAGTAAATACATCTCTGGCTCAAGTACAACAGTAACTTTTTAATTAAATGTTAATTTGTTACCTATAATGCTAAGTAGTTTTAAAAGAGATTTCAAATATATTATCTCATTCTTTACAGCAGCCCTGTGTGAAAGGTAGAATAGAAATTATACTCATATTTTACCCTTAAGGAAACAAAAACTCTAAGACAATAAGCAACCAGTCTCAGGTTAGACACCTGCAAAGAATTAAAGTTGGTTTCAAGTTGAGGATTTCTGACTTTTTTTCCAGAGCTCTTCTCACCACACATAACGCCTAAGTGAGAAAGCTGAAGTGAAGTCACTCATAAATTTGTGGGTGAAACATAAAATATTTTCTTTGGGGCCAAATATACAGAGAAATCTTGCAGTCATTCTTTGTTTGGAAATACAGGTTTTTCCTGCAACTGTCAAACAAAGTTCCATTCTGCCAAGAGCACGTTCTGCAATTTTTTGGAATAATACTTTTTTTATGACTATCAAAGACACCAAAAATTGGTACTAATGAAAGGAAACTTACCATGTCATATATTAAACAATATTATAAGATTAACAATAACTTTAAAAATGTGGTACTAGTACACATCATGGAACAGTTCAAAAGCAGTCCCAAATATATTAAAAAACTTTTATATGCCCCAAAAGAAATAGAGGTGTAAGAGTTAAATTATTCAAAAAATGGTGTTAGAAAGAATATCCATCATTTTTATTCATCTCACAACAGGGATTGAAATATATTCCAAGTAGATGAAATAATTAAATGCAAATAAAATGTATAGGTAAGTATTTAACAAATTGGGAATGCTAGATATGGTTGCCCAAGTCGTGTGCAGCTGCACAATGACACCTAGGTGAATGGTTTTAACACCTTGCAACTGATTTTTGGTTGGGAAAGAATTTTTTAAGTGGGAAAGCAATATGAAAATCACATAAGTGAGATTCATAGATTTGACCATATCAACACAGTTGAATATTATACATCAAACTTAATTTGTCTTATACAAATTACGACAAAGAATGACTGGTAAAAACATTTGCAATAAATATTATATCCTCGCAGGATTTGTGTATAAATTCATGTATATGTAATGACCAACACTCAAATCCCCAGCAATAACATTCATTACTTCTATAAATTAGGGTGATGTTAAAAGATATAACAAAAATATCCCAAATTGTAAAATGGCTCAAATATAATAGAAACAAGCATTTGTAAACTTTTTATACCAGGGCCATGTTAGCAGTCTGGTGAAGCTTAGAATCCCTTCTCAAAATAATTTTTTATTTCTTTGTATTTTATATATTTTTTATTTTTATAGATTTAAGGGGTACAAGTGCAGTTTTGTTACATGGATATATTGTGTGGTGGTAAAGCCTGGGTTTTTAGTGTAATATAACCCAAATAATATACATTGTACCTGGTAATTTCTCATCCATCATCCCCCTGCCACTCTCCCACTTTTCTGAGTCTCCAACCTTTATTATTTTACTCTCTATGCCCATGTGTACACATCATCAAAATAGTGTTTTTAAATACATGAAAGAAAATTTTTAAAGTTTCAAAAGAAACTAATTACATTGAAATGCAGTGCTAAAGTATTAAAATAATTTATGATATAATAATAAAGATGCTTATTTATTAAAACATCAAATAAAATATACCAGCAGGTTCATTACTACTATATTTTTAAAATCTTGATGAGTATGAATTAAATTTCAGATATTTGTTACAATTGTAATGTGATACAAAAATACTTTTCATAGGTACTGCTAATGCGACTGGTTTGTTGTTTATACTCATAACAAAAGAAAATGCTAAATTGAGGTAAGAAAGACATTAGTAAAAATCATATTTTTCCCATTCCAAGTTCACAGACCCCTTGAATTCAATCTACAGACCCCTTGGAGATCTATGGGCCTCAAATTAGAAGCTAATTCAATAGAAGTTTATTTCTTGCTCATATAATATTCTTTCATGAAAAGGCAGAGAAGCAGGATTCAGGTGAAGGAGACCTCAGGGGACCAGGGACCAGCTGAAGGACGTTTGCCTTGTTCAAGATGCAGTTTCCAAAGTCATCATCATTGTTCCCATCCAAGCTAGCCAAAAGAGAAGAAGAATATGGAGAGATATATGTGAGAGAATTTTGGGAACCTGGAAATGGTGTACATCATGTCTACTCATATTCTACTGACTAAAACTCAGTGACACGAACATACCTATCTGCAAGGGCAGATGAGGAATATACATAAGCAGTATTCCCATGAAGAAGAAGAGAGTCTGGGCTTTGATGAGTAGGTAATAGTCTTCCATATCACCCATCATATTAGCAATTTCATTTCTAATGACTATACTCAATGAGGTAAAGTTTAGAATGAAGAAATGGGAACTGCTGTGGAAATGAATTGTGTAAAAAGTGCATTTTGAAGAGCAAGCCATCAAGATGAATTGAGTATTTTTAAAATGTTGAAGCACCTTGATCCATTACTTTAATTCCTATGAATTTTTAAGAATATAACACAAACTGAAGAAAAATATACACACGAATTATTCCCAGCAGCATAAGCTTAAATAAAAATACAAGTATTTATTATTATTTATAAGAAATTTACAATAACCAAAAATTCAATTAGCGTTGCCAATGAAATTGAGGTACAATCATATGATAGATTATTATGTTTATAAGCATTTTAATATGTAATAGCTGAAATTTCTTGAATGCTTATTATATGTTAGGCATTGTGCTGATTGCTTTACATACATGCCTTATGTCCTCACAACAACCCCATGAGACACTTTATTTTTCCCATTTCAAGTATGAAGAAACTGAATCTCAGCAAAACTAAGTGCTTTGCTGAGAAATATAAAGCTCTGATAAATCTTGGCTGATTGCTCACCTAGAATCCGTTCTCTCTTCTTGATAAAATCCTAATCTTGCAGGGGGTGGGGGGAAATGTGCTATGTTAAAAATGCTGCACCTCCAGACTAACACAATTGAGGCTAGCTATGTTCCTATCCATGGCCAATGCAATTTAAGAAGGAATTGCCATTATAAAGGAAGACTCATCTGACATGAGCCTGTTCAGACTTCCAACCTTCATCTTTTCACTCTTCTTCTTCTCGCAAAGGAACACTGTAGGGACTCAGCACACTCAGCATGCCTGGGGGCAGTTGACAACAATGGTAACAGTTTGGACTTGTATGCACTCACTTTAGAGTCCCTCCCCTGAGCTCAGCATGAAATGATCAGAAAAATCCATAGCATACAGCTTCTGCCTAGAGAGAGAAAGAGAAGACTAAACATAGATCTAACATTCAGACATTTTTGGGAGCTGCCTGAGGACTGATTTCTGTCTCTCCTGTCTTGGAGCACTGATGGAACACAGCATACTGTGAACAAAAAATAAAAATAGTTGGATGGTGTGTTGCTGCTCCAGAGGACATACAGTACAGTAAACAGACATCAGAGGAAGCAAGATATAATAAACTCCTGAAACAGAAGCTGGAGAACCCCTTTAAATAGAAATTTACATGCACACATCTAGAGAAGTCACATCCACAAAAAAAGTTTGAGAGATCCCTAAAATCTTTAGCTGGGTTGACTGGTGGAGATGGTCTCCTGTAGGAAGCCAATCTATAAACATTGGAAGAAGTGGCTGTTTTTTCAAATGTTTAGACACCAACACAAAATGTCAAGCACAAAGAAACAGGAAAATATGGAGCAAACAAATATAAGTAAATCTTCAGAAAGCCATGCTAAAGAAACAGAGGTATATGAATTACCTAACAAAGAGTTCAAAATAACCATCATAAAAATGCTCAACAAGTTTAAGGAAACAATACATAAAAAAGGAGTATTTCAACAAAAAGATAGAAAATATATATTGTTTTAAAAATCAAACAAAAAATTGGAAATGAAGAGTCCAATAACTGTGATAAAAAATTTCCTAAAAAGGTTCAACGGTTGACTAGATCAAGCAAAAGTATAAGCAAACTTTAAAACAAGCCATTTAAAGTTATCTAGTCTGAGGAACAAACAGAAAATATAATTTTAAAAAGTGAAGAAAGCTCTAGGGACTTATGGGAAACCATGATGTGAACTGATATACACATGGTGGTAGTCTCAGAAGGAGCAGAAAGAGAAAAGGGAAGAATCTTATTTTCTTCAATAGTGGACTTCTCCTACCTGCTGCCTTCTGAAGAAGGTGATTTGCTTCCGCTTCACCTTCTGCCATGATAGCAAATTTTCTGAGGCCTCCCCAGTCATGCTGAACTGATGCTGAGGCTGCAATATCATTAACATGCAAGTATGAGAGGAATGAAGCACCCCATTTTATAAAGACTGTGGCCTATGAATTCTTGTGATAGGGATTATGCTGGATGCACCCAGAAAAATTGGAAGCTTCTAGTTAACTCCACAAAATGTTGTGTGCCTCATGAATAAAGATGCTGGGAGGAGGCACCAAGATGGCTGACTGGAAGTAGCTATCTGTCAGTGGCTCCCACCAAAAAGAAGAAAACCAGCAAGTGAATCCTGCACCTTCAGCTGAGGTAGCCAGGTTCTCTCACTGGGACTGACTAGGCAGTTGGTGTGACCCATGAAGAGAGAGGAAAAGCAAAGTGGAGTGACAGCTCACCTAGGAGCCACACAGGACAAGAGGAATTACCACCCTCAGCCAAGGGAGAAAGTGAGTGATTGTGCTACCCTACCTGGGAAACAACACTTTCTCCACAGATCTGTGCAACCTTCAGATCAGGAGATCTCTTCGTGAGCCCATGCCACCAGGGCCTAGGTTCCCAAGCACAGAGCTGTGCAGATGCTTGATGGCCGCTCAGGTTGCAGCCAGCAGCTGCAGGCTGGATACTGCATAAGATGATTGGGACTGCCTAAGATGACTGCCAAATACTCCCTCCCAAGGGGAGGGGAACAGCCATCACTGTGGCTCCAGTCTGTTGTTTTCCCCTGCTGGTGCCAGAGAGACTGGGTGGTTTGGACCAAGAGGAATTCTCCACAGGGCAGCACAGCGGCTGTGTGCAGATCATGGCCAGACTTCTTGTTTAGGTGGGACTCAGATCCATTCCTTCTCACTGGGTGAAGCCTCCCTGTGGGAATTTCAATAACTCCAGCCAGGGTTTGCAGACAGAACTCTAATCTCCCTGAGATGGAGCCCATGGCAGGAAATGCAGCCATGATCTCCATGGTTCATCAGACTTAACCTCTCTTGTCTGCTAGCCCTGAAGAGTCCAGGCAGTCCAGATGAGGGGGATTCCCTCTGGCACAGCACACTGCTCAGCTAAGGGGCAGCCAGAATTATTTGTTAAGCAAGTCCCTGATCCCATACCTCCTAACTGTGTGAGAACCCCCCAACAGGGGTCACCAGACACCTTATACAGGACCATTCCCACTAACATCAAATTGTTGTCCCTCTGCAACAAAGCTCCCAGAGGAAAGAGCAGGCAGCCATCTTTCTGTTCTGTAGCCTCCACTGGTGACACCTCCAAGTGCAGGAGGGACCCAGGTGAATAGGGTCTGGAGCAGACCCCCAGTAAACTACAGCAGCCCTAGAGAAGAGGGGCCTGACTGTTAAAAGGAAAACAAACAAACAGAAAGCAACAACAACATCAACAAAAAGACCCCACAAAAACCCTATGCAAAGGTCAGCAGCCTCAAAGATCGAAGGTAGATAAGTTCATGAAGATGAGAAAGAATCAATGCAAAAACACTGAAAATTCCAAATGCCAGAGAGCCTCTTCTCCTCAAAATAATCACAACACCTCTCCAGCATGAGCACAGAACTGGGCTGAGGCTGAGATGGATGAACTGACAGAAGGAGGTTTCGGAAGAAGCTAAGAATGATGATATAATATTGCAGGAGTGGCTGGGTGCGGTGGCTCATGGCTGTAATCCCAACACTTTGGGAGGCTAAGGTGGGCGGATTACCTGAGGTCAGGAGTTCAGGACCAGCCTGACCAACATGGAGAAATCCTGTCTCTACTAAAAATACAAAAATTAGCCAGGCGTGGTGGCATACGCCTGTAGTCCCAGCTACTTGGGAGGCTGAGGCAGGAGAATGGCTTGAACCCGGGAGACGGAAGTTGCGGTGAGCCAAGATTGTGCCACTGCACTCCAGCCTGGGCGACAGAAGCAAAGCTCTGTCTCAAAAAAAAAAAAAAAAAAAAAAAAAAAAAAAAAATATATATATATATATATATATATATATATATATATATATTGATTGCAGTAGCTGTTAACCAGAATAACTAATTTAGAGAGGAACATAAATAATCTGATGGAGCTGAAAAACACAACATGAGAACTTCACAATGCAACAACGAGCATCAACAGCTGAATAGGCCAAGCAGAGAAAAGAATCTCAGAGCTTGAAGACTATATTCCTGAAATAAGACAGGCAAACAAGATTAGAGAAAACAGAATGACAGGGAATGAACAAAACCTTCAAGAACTATGGGATTATGTAAAAAGACTGAACCTATGACTGATTGGGGTACCTGAAAGAGATGGGAAGAATGGAACCAAGTTGGAAAACATACTTCAGGGTATCACCCAGGAAAACTTTCCCAACCTAACAAGAAAGGCCAAGATTCAAATTCAGGAAATCCAGAGAACCCTAGTAAAATACTCCATGAGAAGATCAGCCCCAAGACACATAATCATCAGATTCTCCAAAGTTGAAAGGAAGAAAAAAAATGTTAAGGGCAGCCAGAGAGAAAGGTCAGATCACCTACAAAGGAAAGCCCACCATCAGACTAACAGCAGGCCTCTCAGAGGAAACTTACAAGCCAGAAGGGACAGGAGGGCAATAGTCAACTTTCTTAAAGAAAAGAATTTCCAACCTATAATTTCATATCCAGTCAAACTAATCTTCGTAAACAAAGGAGAAATAAAGTCATTTTCAGATAAGCAAAAGCTAAGGGAATTCATCACCATCAGCCCTATCTTGCAAGAGCTCCTGAAGGAAGCATTAAATATGGAAAGGAAAAATTGTTACCAGCCACTACAAAAACACACTGAAGTACGCCTACCAATGTCACTATGAAGCAACTACATTAACAAGTCTGCAAAATGACCAGCTAGAATCATGATGACAGGTTTAAATTCATTAACAAGTCTGCAAAATGACCAGCTAGAATCATGATGACAGGTTTAAATTCATTAACAAGTCTGCAAAATGACCAGCTAGAATCATGATGACAGGTTTAAATTCATTAACAAGTCTGCAAAATGACCAGCTAGAATCCTGACGACAGGATTAAATTCAAACATAAAAACATTAACTTTAAATGTAAATGGGCTACATGTACCAATGAAAAGACAGAATGGCAAGCTGAATAAAGAGTCAAGATCCACTGGTGTGCTGTATTCAAGAGACCCATCTCACATGTAAAGACACACATGGGCGCAAATAAATGGATGGAGGAAAATTTACCAAGCGAATAGAACCAAGTTGCAATCCTGGTTTCTGACAAAACAGACTTTAAACAAAGATCAAAAAAGACAAAGATGGAGATTACATAATGGTAAAAGGTTCAATTCAACAAGAAGAGCTAACTGTCCTAAAGGTATATGCACTCAATACAGGAGGACTCCATAAGACAAGTTCTTAGAGACCTACAAAGAGACTTAGATTCCCACACACTAATAGTGGGAGACTTTAACACCCCATTGTCAATAGTAGACAGTTCATTGAGACAGAAAATTAACAGCTATTCAAGACTTGAACTCAGCTCTGGTTCAAGTGGACCTGAAAGATATCTACAGATCTCTCCACCCCCAAACAACAGAATATACATTCTTCTAAGTGCCACATGGCACTTACTCTAAAACTGATCACATAACTGGAAGTAAAACATTCCTTAGAAAAGGCAGAAGAACTGAAATCATAATAGTCTCTCAGACCACAATGCAATCAAATTAGAACTCAAGGTTAAGAAACTTACTCAAAACCACACAACTACATGGAAATTGAACAACCTGCTCCTGAATGACTCCTGGGTAAATAATGAAATTAAGGCAGAAATTAAGAAGTTCTTTAAAACTAATGAGAAAAAAGAGACAATATACCAGACTCTTAGGGATGCAGCTAAAGCAGTGTTAAGAGAGAAATTTATATCATTAAATGCCCACATCAAAAAGCTAAAAAGTTCTCAAATTTACATCCTAACATCACAACAAAAAGAACCAGAGAAACAAGAGCAAACAAACCCCAAAGCTAGCAGAAGACAAGAAATAACCAAGATCAACACAAAACTGAAGGAGATAGAGATAAAAAAAAAAAAACCTTCAAAAAATCAACGAATCCAGGATTTGGATTTTTAGAAAAAATTAATAAAATAGACTGCTAGCTATATTAATAAGAAAAGAGAGAAGAATCAAAGATAGACACAATAAAAAGTGATAAAGGGGATATCACCACTGATGCCACAGAAATGCAAACAACCATCAGAGAATACTATAAACACCTTTATGCTAATAAACTGAAAAATCTAGAGGAAATGCATAGATCCCTGGACGCATACACCCTCCCAAGATTAAACCAGAAAAAAGTTCAATCCCTGAATAGTCCAATAACATGTTCTAAAATTAAGGCAGTAATAAATAACCTATCAACCCAAAAAAACACAGGACTAGATGGATTTGCACTGAATTCTACCAGAGGTACAAAGAGGAGCTGGTTCCATTTCTTCTGAAACTATTCCAAACAATTGAAAAGGAAGGACTTCTATTATAGTTTGAAGTCAGGTAGCGTGATGCCTCCAGCTTTGTTCTTTTGGCTTAGGATTGTCTTGGCAATGCGGGCTTTTTTTTGGTTCCATATGAACTTTAAAGTAGTTTTTTCCAGTTCTGTGAAGAAAGTCATTGGTAGCTTGATGGGGATGGCTTTGAACTTATAAATTACCTTGGGTAGTATGGCCATTTTCACGATATTGATTCTTCCTACCCATGAGCATGGAATGTTCTTCCATTTGTTTGTATACTCTTTTATTTCATTGAGCAGTGGTTTGTAGTTCTCCTTGAAGAGGTCCTTCACATCACTTGTAAGTTGGATTCCTAGGTATTTTATTCTTTGAAGCAATTGTGAATGGGAGTTCACTCATGATTTGGCTCTCTGTCTGTTATTGGTGTATAAGAATGCTTGTGATTTTTGCACATTGATTTTGTATCCTGAGACTTTGCTGAAGTTGCTTATCAGCTTATGGAGATTTTGGGCTGAGATGATGGGGTTTTCTAGATATACAATCATGTCATCTGCAAACAGGGATAATTTGACTTCTTCTTTTCCTAATTCAATACCCTTTATTTCCTTCTCCTGCCTGATTGCCCTGGCCAGAACTTCCAAAACTATGTTGAATAGGAGTGGTGAGAGAGAGCATCCCTGTCTTCTGCCAGTTTTCAAAGAGAATGCTTCCCATTTTTGCCCATTCAGTATGATATTGGCTGTGGGTTTGTCCTAAATAGCTGTTATTATTTTGAGATACATCCCATCAGTACCTAATTTATTGAGAGTTTTTAGCATGAAGGGCTGTTGAATTTTGTCAAAGGCCTTTTCTGCATCTATTGAGATAATCATGTGGTTTTTGCAATTGGTTCTGTTTATATGCTGGATTACATTTATTGATTTGTGCATGTTGAACCAGCCTTGCATCCCAGGGATGAAGCCTACTTGATCATGGTGGATAAGCTTTTTGATGTGCTGCTGGATTCGGTTTTCCAGTATTTTATTGAGGATTTTTGTATCAATGTTCATCAGGGATATTCATCTAAAATTTTCTTTTTTTGTTGTGTCTCTGCCAGGCTTTGGTATCAGGATGATGATGGCCTCATAAAATGAGTTAGGGAGGATTCCCTCTTTTTCTATTGATTGGAATAGTTTCAGAAGGACTGGTAGCAGCTCCTCCTTTTACCTCTTCTAGAATTTGGCTGTGAATCCGTCTAGTCCTGGATTTTTTTTCGTTGGTAAGCTATTAATTGTTGCCTCAATTTCAGAGCCTGTTATTGGTCTATTCAGAGATTCAGCTTCTTCCTGGTTTAGTCGTGGGAGGGTGTATGTGTCGAGGAATTTATCCATTTCTTCTAGATTTTCTAGTTTATTTGTGTAGAGATGTTTATAGTATTCTCTGATGGTAGTTTGTATTTCTGTGGCATCAGTGGTGATATCCCCTTTATCATTTTTTATTGCATCTATTTGATTCTTCTCGCTTTTCTTCTTTATTAGTCTTGCTAGCGGTCTATCAATTCTGTTGATCTTTTCAAAAAACCAGCTCCTGGATTGATTGATTTTTTTGGAGGGTTTTTTGTGTCTCTATCTGCTTCAGTTCTGCTCTGATCTTAGTTATTTCTTGCCTTCTGCTAGCTTTTGAATGAGTAAGCAAAACAGCATAGTAGTGGTACCAAAAGAGAGATATAGACCAATGGAACAGAATAGAGCCCTCAGAAATAATGCCACATATCTACAACTATCTGATCTTTGACAAACCTGACAAAAACAAGAAATGGGGAAAGGATTCCCTATTTAATAAATGGTGCTGGGAAAACTGGCTAGCTATATGTAGAAAGCTGAAACTGCATCCCTTCCTTACACCTTATACAAAAATTAAGTCATGATGGATTAAAGACTTACATGTTAGACCTAAAACCATAAAAACCCTAGAAGAAAACCTAGGCAATACCATTCAGGACATAGGCATGGGCAAGGACTTCATGTCTAAAACACCAAAAGCAATGGCAACAAAAGCCAAAATTGACAAATGGGATCTAATTAAACTAAAGAACTTCTGCACAGCAAAAGAAACCACCATCAGAGTGAACAGGCAACCTACAGAATGGGAGAAAATTTTGCAACCTACTCATCTGACAAAGGGCTAATATCCAGAATCTACAAAGAACTCCAACAAATTTACAAGAAAAAAACAAACAACCCCATCAACAAGTGGGCGAAGGATATGAACAGACACTTCTCAAAAGAAGACATTTATGCAGCCAAAAGACATGAAAAAATGCTCATGATCACTGGCCATCAAAGAAATGCAAATCAAAACCACAATGAGATACCATCTCACACCAGTTACAATGGCGATCATTAAAACGTCAGGAAAAAACAGGTGCTGGAGAGGATGTGGAGAAATAGGAACACTTCTACACTGTTGGTGGGACTGTAAAGTAGTTCAACCATTGTGGAAGTCAGTGTGGCGATTCCTCAGGGATCTAGAACTAGAAATACCATTTGACCCAGCCATCCCATTGCTGGGTACATACCTAAAGAATTATGAATCATGCTGCTATAAAGACACATGCACACGTATGTTTATTGCGGCACTGTTCACAATAGCAAAGACTTGGAACCAACCCAAATGTCCAACAATGATAGACTGGATTAAGAAAATGTGGCACATATACACCATGGAATACTATGCAGACATAAAAAAGGATGATTTCATGTCTTTTGTAGGGACATGGATGAAGCTGGAAACCATCATTCTCAGCAAACTATCGCAAGGACAAAAAACCAAACACTGCATGTTCTCACTCATAGGTGGGAATTGAACAATGAGAACATGTGGACACAGGAAGGGGAACATCACACCCCAGGGCCTGTTGTGGGGTGGGGGGAGTGGGGAGGGATAGCATTAGGAGATATAACTAATGTAAATGACGAGTTAATGGGTGCAGCACACCAACATGGCACATGTATACATATGTATAAAACCTGCACATTGTGCACACGTACCCTAAAACTTAAAGTATAATAATAAAAGGAAATGAAGGACTTCTCCCTGACTGATTTTATAAGGCCAGCATGTTCCTGATACCAAACATAGCGGAGATACAACAACATAAGAAAACTTCAGGCCACTATCCCTGATGAACATCAATGCAAAAGTCTTCAATAAAATACTGGGAAACCAAATCCAGCAGCACATCAAGAAACTTATTCAGCATGATCAAGTTGGGTTCATCCCAAGGATGCAAGACTGGTTCAACATATGCAAATCAATTAATGGATTTCATCACACAAACAGGACCAATGACAAAATCCACAAAATTATCTCAATAGATGCAGAAAAGGCCTTCCATAAAATTCAACATTGCTTTATCTTAAAAACTCTCAAGAAATTAGGCACATTGAAGGAACATTCCTCAAAATAATGAGCCATTTATGACTAATGCACAGCCAATATCATACTGAATGGGCAAAAGCTGGAAGCATTCCCCTTGAAAACCAGCAGAAGACAAGGATGCCCTCTCTCATCATTCCTATTCAACATAGTATTAGAAATTTTGGCCAGGTAAATCAGGCAAGAGAAAGAAATAAAGGGTATTCAAATAGGAAGAGAAAGAAGTTAAATTGTCTCTGTTTGGAGATGACATGATCCTCTATCTAGAAAACCCCATTGTTTCAACCCAAAAGCTTCTTAAGCTGATGAGCAACTTCAGCAGAGTCTCAGGATACAAAATCGATGTGCAAAAATCACAAACATTCCTATACACCAACAACAGCCAAGCAGAGAGCCAAATCATAAATGAACTCCCATTTACAATTGCTACAAAGAGAATAAAATACCTAGGAATACAGCTAACAAGAGAAGTGAGGGACCTCTTCAATGAGAGCTACAAACCACTGCTCAAGGAAATCAGAGAGGACATGAACTGGTGAAAAAATATTCCATGCTCATGGACAGGAAGAATCAGTATCTTGAAAATGGCCATACTGCCCAAAGCAATTTATAGATTCAATGCTATTCTCATTAAATAACCATTGACATTCTTCACAGAATTAGAAAAAAATACTTTAAATTTCATATGGAACCAAAAATGAGCCTAAATAACCAAGACAATCCCAAGCAAAAAGAACAAGGCTGGAGGCATCACACTACCCGACTTCAAACTATACTACAAGGCTACAGTAATAAAACAGCATGGTACTAGTACAAAAACAGATACTTAGACTAATGGAATAGAATAGAGAAATCAGAAATGAGACCACATATCTACAACCATCTGATCTTTGACAAATCTCACAAAAACAAGCATGGGGAAAGGATTCCTATTTAAGAAATGACGCTGGGAGAACTGGCTAGTTATATGCAGAAAATTGAAACTGGACCCCTTCCTTATACCTTATACAAAAATTAATTCAAGATGAATTAAAGACTTAAATGTAAAACCCAAAACTGTAAAAACCCTAGAAGAAAATCTAGGCAATACCATTCAGGACATAGGTAATGGCAAAGATTTCATAACGAAAACCTCAAAAACAATTGCGACCAAAAAATTGACAAATGGGATCTAATTAAACTAAAGAGCTTCTGCACAGCAAAGAAAATGATCATAAGAGCAAACAGACAACCTACAAAATGGAAGAAAATTTTTGCAATATATCCATCTGACAAAGGTCTAATATCCAGAATCTACAAGGAACTTAAGCAAATTCACAATAAATAAACAAGCAACCCTATTAAAAAGTGGGCAAAGGACACTTTTCAAAAGAAGACATACATGCAGCCACCAAACATATGAAAAAAAGCTCAACATCACTGATCATTAGAGACATGCAAATTAAAACCATAATGAGATACTATCTCATGCCAGTCAGAATGGTGATTGTTAAAAAGTCAAGAAACATCAGATGCTGGTGAGACTGCAGAGAAATAGGAACGCTTTTCACTGTTGGTGGGAACGTAAATTAGTTCAACCATTGTGGAAGATAGTATGGTGATTCCTCAAAGCTCTAGACCCAGAAATACCATTTGACCCAGAAATCCCATTACTGGGTGTATACCCAAAGGAATATAAATCATTCTGTTATAAAGATACATGTACACATTATGTTCACTGGAGCACTATTCACAATAGCAAAGACATGGAGTCAACCCAAATGCCCATCAATGATAGACTGGACAAAGAACATGTGGTGCGTATATACCAAGGGATACTATGCAGCCATAAAAAGGGATGTGATTGTGTCCCTTTTTATGGACATGGATGGAGCTGGAAGCCATTAACCTCAGCAAACTAACACAGGAACAGAAAACCAAACACCACATGTTCTCGCTTATCAGTGGGAGTTGAACAATGTGAACACATAGACAAAGAGAGGGGAACAACACACACTGGGGCCTCTCAGGAGGGGCCGGGAAAAGGGAGAGCATCAGGAAAAATGGCTAAGGCATGCTGGGCTGAATATCTAGGTGATGGGTTGATAGGTGCAGCAAATCACTACAAAATAATAATTGAAACACCAGGAAGATAACAAAAGAGAGACAAAAAAGCTACAAAATAGACAAAAAAATTAATAAAATGGCAATAATAAATCCTTACCTATCAATATTACTTGTAAATAGATTAAACTCCCCCATCAAAAGGCGCATAGTGGCTGAATGGATACAAGAAAACTCAACGTTTTACTGTCTATGAGAGAATAATTTTAGATTTAAAGACACACAGACTGAATGATAAAAGGTGGAGAAAAGGTATTCTATGGAAATGGTAACCCAAAGGGAGCAGGGATGGCTGTGTTTATATCAGACAAAATAGACTTAAGTAATAAACTGCCACAAGAAACAAAGATGGACATTATATAATCATAAAAGCGTTAAATTGCCAGGGAGATAAAACAATTACAAAGCATATACATCTGTCATCAGAGTACCTAAATATATAAAGGAAATATTGACATAACTGAAGAGAGAAACAGCAATACAATAATATTAGAATACTTCAATACCCCTCCTTTCAATAAGGGATAGAATATTCAGACAGATAATTAATGAGACAGCAAATCTGAAAAATAACATAGATCAAATGAACCTAACAGATATATACAGAACATATCATCCAACAGCAGCAGAATACACATTCTTCTCAGGCATACTTGGAACATTCTTCAAGATAGATTACATGTTAGGTCACAAAATAAGTTAACAAATTTAATGAGATTGAAATAATACAAAGTATTTTTGTGACCACAATGGAATGAAACTAGAAATCAACAAAAGAAAGAAAACTGGAAATTTTTCATTAATATGTGGAAAGTAAAAAATATATTCTTGAACAGCTAATGGATCAAAGAAGAAATCAAAAGCAAAATCGGAAAATATTTTGAGAAAAACAAAAATGAAATACAACATACCAAAACCTATGGAATGCAGCAAAAGCAATACTTAGAAGTTTATAGCAGTAAATGCCTACATTAAAAAAAGAAAGATATCAAATAAACAACCTAATTTTGCACCTCAATGACCACAAAATTTAGTAGAAGGGGAAAAACAAAGAAGCTTAGAGTAGAAATAAACAAAATGGGAAATAAAAAACAATAGAAATTATGTGATAAAACTGAGGGTTTTTTTGAAAAGATAAAATTGACAAAATTTTAGCCAGAATTACCAAGAAAGAGAAGAGAAAAGACTCAAATAAAATCAGAAATGAAAAAGGAGACATTACAGGAAGCTGAGGCTGCGCACGGTGGCTCACACCTGTAATCCCAGCACTTTGAGAGGCCGAGGGGGGCGGATCTTGAGGTCAGGAGATCGAGACCATCCTGGCTAACACAGTGAAATCCCGTCTCTACTAAAAATACAAAAATTATCTAGGCGTGGTGGGATGCACCTGTAGTCCCAGCTACTCGGGAGGCTGAGGCAGGAGAATTGCCTGAACCTGGGAGGCAGAGGTTGCAGTGAGCCGAGATCACGCCACTGCACTCCAACCTGAGAGACAGAGTGAGACTCCATCTCAAAAAAAAAAAAAAAAAGGAAGCTGGGCATGGCGGCACGCACTTATAGTCCCAGCTACTTGGGTGGCTGAGGCATGGCATTGGAATTGCTTGAGCCCAGGAGTTCAAGGCCAGCTTGGGCAACAGAGTGAGACCTTGTCTCAAAATAAAATAAAATAAAAGAAGAGACATTACAATTGATACTACAGAAATAAAAAGTATCAAAAAGATTACTACGAATAATTATATGCTAACAAATTAGATAAGCTAGGTGAAATGGATGTTTCTATTATCACCCAATGTACCAAGACTGAATCATAAAGAAATAGACAATCTGAACAGACCTATAGGTTATAACCAGTAAGAAATTGAATAAGTTATCAAAACCTCTTGACAAGGAAAAGCCCAGAACCAGATGGCTTCATTGGTGAAATCTACTAAACATTTAAAGAAAGTTAATACCAATTTTTCTCAAATTCTTTCAAAAATTGAAGAGAAATGAACACTTTTAAACTTATTTTTTATGGCCAACACTATCCTGATAGTAACATGAGACAAAGACACTTCAAGAAAAGAGGACTATAGGCCAATATCCCTAATGAACATAAATAGAAAAATACTCCACAAAACATTAGCAAACAGATTCAATAGCACATTAAAAGAATCATACACCATGATTAAGTGGGAGTTATCTCTTTGATGCAAGAATGGTTCAGCATTTAAAAATCAATTAATGTAGTGATATACTATATTAGTAGAATAATGGATAAAACTCACATGATTATCTCAATAGATAAGAAGAAGCACCCGACACTTTTTACAAATAACACTCAATAAACTAAAAATAGAAGGAAATTACCTTAACATAATAAAGTCATATATGAAAAGCCCACAGCCAACATCATGCTCAATGATGAAAAACTAAAATCTTTTTCTCTAAGATTGGGAACAAAGCAAGAATGTCCATTCTTACCACTTCTATTCAATGTAATACTGGAAGTCCTAGGGAAAGCAATTAGGCAAGAGAAAGAAATCAAAGAAATTCAAATCAGAAAGGAAGATGTAAAATTATCTCTGTTTGCAATGACATAATCTTATGTGTAGAAAAAAAGACTCCATAAAAAACTATTAGAACTAATAAATGAATCTGGCAAAGTTGCAGGACAGAAGATCAACATACAAAAATGAGTTGTATTTCTATACACTAAAAATGAATTATCCAAAAAGAAAATTAAGGAAACAAGCCCATTTAAAAGAGCATCCAAAAGAATAAGACAGCTGGGCGCGGTGGCTCACACCTGTAATCCCAGCACTTTGGGAGGCCAAGGTGGGCAGATCATGAGGTCAGGAGATCGAGACCATCCTGGCTCACATCGTGAAATCCTGTCTCTATTAAAAATACAAAAAAATTAGCCGGGTGTGGTGGCAGATGCCTGTAGTCCCAGCTACTTGGAAGCCTGAGGCAGGAGAATGGCATGAACCTGGGAGGTGGAGCTTGCGGTGAGTGAGCTGAGATTGCACCACCACACTCCAGCCTGGGCGACAGAGCGAGACTCTGTCTCAAAGTAAAAAAAAAAGAATAAGACAGAAACTTAACTGAGGAAGTGAAAGACTTGTACACGGAAAATCACAAAACATTGATGAAAGAAATTTCAAAAGACAAAGAAATGGAGAGACTTTCCATGTTCATGAATTGGAAGACTTAATATTGTTAAAATGTACATACTATTGAAAATGATCTACAGATTCAATGCAATTTCTATCAAATCTTAATGGAATGTTTTACAGAAATAGTAAAAACAATTCTACAATTCATATGAAACCACAGAGGACTTCAAATAGCCAAACCATCTTGAGAATGAACAAAGCTAGAATTCTCACACTTGAATATGTAATTTCAAAGCACATTACAAAGCTACAGTAATTAAAACAGTGTGGTACTGGAGTAAAAATAGATATATAGACTGATAGAACAGAATAGAGAGCCCAGAAATAAACCTATACATATACAGTCAACTCATATTTGACAAGTATGCCAAGAATACGCAATGGGAAAAAGTCTCTTCAACAAATGGTGTTGGGAAAACTGAATATCCACATACCAAAGAATAAAGTTGGACTCTTTCTTACATAACCCAATACAGAAAAATCAACTCAAAATGGAGTAAAGGCTTAAATATGATACCTGAAACTTTAAAGCTCCTAGAAAGAAACAAAGGGGAAAAGCTTTATGACACTGGTCTTATCAATTATTTCTTTTACAAAATGCCAAAAGCACAGCCAACAAAAAGTAAAAATAGACGTGGCACTACACCAAACTACATCAAGCTTCTGTACAGCAAAGGAAACAATCAGCAGAATGGAAAAGTAACCTACAGAATGAGAAAAAAATATTTACAAACCAAGTATCTGATAAGGAGTTAATATCTTAAATATATAAAGAACTTCTACAACTCAATAGCAATAAAACCCTTATAGTTTAAAAAATGGACAAAGGACTTAAACATGCAATTTTCCAAGGAGACACAAAATGGCCACAAAAATATGTTAAGATGCTCAATATTACTAATCATCAGGGAAATGCAAATCAAAACCACAATGACATATAACCTCACATCTGTTGGGATACTCATTATGAAAAAAAACAAGTATTGGTGAGGATGTGGAGAAGTTGGGATTGATGTGCACTCTTGGTTGGAATGTGAAATGGGGCAGCTACTGTAGAAAGTATGAAGATTCCTCCAAAATTTAAATGTAGAACCACCGTAAGACCCAGAATTTCCACTTCTGGGTATATATTTCTAAAACAACTGAAAGCTGGATTTTGAAGTTACTTGCACACCCATGTTCATTGCAGCATTATTCACCATGCCCTATATGTCCATCAACAGATGAATGGATGAGGAAAATGTAGCATATACATACAATAAAATGTTATTGTCCTTAAAGCAAGAAGGCAATCCTATCATATGCAACAACATGTATGAACCTTGAGAACATTATGCTAAGTGAAATAAACACATCACAAAAAGGCAAATAACATATGATTCCACTTATACAAGGCATATATAGTAGTCAAACCCACAGAAACAGAAAGTAGAATGGTGGTTGCTGGGCTGGAAGAGGAAGTGAAGAGTCATTGTTCGATGGGTATAAAGTTTCAGTTATGCAAGATGAAAAAGTTCTAGCAATCTTCTGTACAACACCATGCTTATACCTAACAATATTGTTGTAATTAGTTTAATATAATTATAATTAGTTTAATATAATTATAATTAAAATTTTCAGAGGGTAGATTTCATGATATGTAGGTTTTTTTTAACCACAATAGCAACAACAAGAAAATTCAAGTCTGAAGTCTGTAACACATGTTCAGCATATATATGGGTGTTGAAGTGGGCTGACATCCAGTGTAAAAATATAGACATGATATATTTCTGTTTATCTACATTATTGACAACCATACTTTTTTTATTGTACTTTAGTGGTACAGCTTAGGATTAATCATAACCTATAGTTTATAATGTGGTCTTATCATTGGTTCATATATAGCCTATGTTTTAGTTATTATTTAATTAGTTATTTTAAGTAATAAATAAACACATGTCACTCACAACAAAAGCCAGAAACTTGATAATCTTATATAGCACATGATTTTCCCCAACAACACATTTCTTTGCTACTGTCTTGATCTCATTTTCATTAGAATGTCAATAGACATAATTTTGTTTCACAAACAGTGTTTCCATGTTTTCAAATAAATTTTGAAAACCATTCTTCCATCTTCATATTCATTTTCAAAAGAGTACTTTGGTTGCTTTAAATTAAAATGATACAGCATTTTTCTGTCCTAGAACTAAATGTAATGTCATGTTTGAAATGTAATTCAAGTAAATAGTTATAAAATTATTGAACAAGTTTTTATGGCTTTGTAATGCAAACAGATTGAAATGATATAGCCTTTCAGATCTAGCAAATATAAAATTGCCATGAATCTTGTAACTTGCTCTAAAGTAGTAAAAGAGAAAAGGGACTTATAACAATAGTAGGCTTCTTTTAGTTAAGTTCAGTAAATATTTATTAAGTATCTACCAAATAGGAAGTATAGAGTTTGACATTGGTGGTAGTGGTGGTTCAGCATAGCTAAGATAATGATCTCTAGGTGAGGAGTTTAAATTTTAATAGAGGAGAGGCACATGCCACAAATAACTGTGATTCAAGATAAAATGACACAAATTCTAAATGTTAAGTAAAATCAAAGTAAAGGTAAGCAATTATAATTCTGAATTGAGGATGGAATCAACACTTAAGGAGGATTTTTTTTCTTTGAGACAGTTTCACTTTGTCACCCAGGCTGGAGTGCAGTGGTGTGATCTCAGCTCACTGCAACCTCCACCTCCCGGGTTCAGAGTTCAAGTGATTTTCCTGCCTCAGCTTCCCAAGTAGCTGGGATTACAGCCACATGCCACCACACCTAGCTAATGTTTGTATTTTTAGTAGAGATGGGGTTTCACCATGTTGTCCAGGCTGGTCACGAACTCCTGACCTCCAGTGATCCACCCGCTTCGGCCTCCCAAAGTGCTGGGATTACAGGCATGACCAACTGTGCCTGGCCTTCAGGAGGATTTTTATAGCTGAGTAGGATCCAAATAGGTCTAAGTGAGAAGGGGATAAAAATACAGGAGAAAGAGTAGTTCCAAAATGTTATTTTAAAGCAGGGTGACCA